>NC_000015.10:35701116-36004146 GCF_000001405.40 Homo sapiens
TTCTCCTTCCTTTCATAAACAACTATTTCCTTATTTGTAAAAATGCTGTGCTATATGCATCTTGTGAATCCCCTCAAATACTCTTATGTAACTGTGTCTCATTGAATGAGTCCCTTTGCCTCTTTGAGACAGAGTTCCTTCATCTGTAAAATGTAAAGTTAGGTCTGTGACCTTTACAATTTCTTCCAGCTTCATAAATAAGTTTTTGTTGTTGTTGGAAATGATAGCCTGGTTTAATGAAGGGAAGAGTTGTCAGAAAACAAATGATGCATAATCTCATTATCAGAGCCAAAGGATGTAGAAGAATCTTTCAGACCTCCTCACTTTGGATATTTCTACTTTTTCTTTCACTATAAATTACCTCAAATACTTTCGGCCAATATAAGCATTTAAAGACATGATCATGAATATTGGTTCCTTCCAAGCAGTGAATGAAAAGGCAGAAGGCTTAGTTCCTGGCCAGTGGAGGTGGGCAAAGCATTTTAGTAGTTTCCGCATAGTTTCTCCTATATCCTATTCAAGGAAAAGGGAACAGTGGAATCTCCAAGAATAAAAATAATAAGGAAAGACCATAAACCTCTTTTGCCACTTTTGATAGAAGGGAAAAATCTAGAGTTCTTATCTTCCTGTCTTGTTCACCTACCACTTAAGAGTTAGAAGGGGAGCTTCAAAGGCTTAGCACTGTCCACCCTATTGAACTATGTTATCAGAGAAAAGGCTGCCAGATGTTTAGCAATCAAACTTGGTGCAGAACATAACTTTAATGGAAAACAGAAGGGTGTTCTGTTTCCCTCCCACTGTGCTATCTGTCTGAGAGACTTTCAGGAGCCCTCTTTTCTTACCCTCTTTGAAAAGCATACGTATGCTTTCCGAAGTGCTATAATTTGACCCAATTGATATAATAATAAGATGAATCTTTACATACACTCCGGAAACAAGTAACTTTGCATCCTTGGGGATGAAGTTTATAAAGCCTGCATTTTCTAGAGTTGAAAACCACCTTGAGAGCAATTAATCAAACACAAATAGGAACATTTGGTATTAAAACTGCCCCAAAGGAGTCAAATCCTGTTTTCTGTATTTATATCTGGTCAGTTCCCATGGGACCTCAGATTCAACGTTATTATTTTTTTTTCTTTTTGTAAAAATGTAGTAACTTTCTAATGGGCTAAGGGGGGTAAGCATGTAGCAAATATATTTCTTAGGAAAAAAGACAAATTTAATTCTCTTTTCATTAAGATGACTTTAAAAAATAAAAAGAAATACCCATTCTTTTTAGACAAGATTGGAAAAGAGATGGTTTTGATAGATAATCACTTTGGATCACTTTGACAATGAGGATGAAACTGTCTCAAGCTCTAAGATACCTCAAATGATTATGGTGTAAAGGCTCCTCATGGCTCCAGAGAACAGAGGTGTTTATTCAAAACATGTATTTGCTTAAGGTGGGACTGCCTTATTTTTAAAGAGTTTGTTCCATACCCAAAAATTTATTCTTACAAACTTATCTCATGGTAAAGTGCTCATCTGTAGGTTGTAAAGATCTCTATGACATCTGGCTCCAGTGGGGCCATGAATAAGGGTAATGAAAGTTTGATTTTAGTGGCTACTTCCTCTAGAAGCTATCCATTCTGGCCCTCTCTTAAAAAAAAAAAAACAACAAAAAGACAAAATACAGTAAATGGAAATTCAAATGTAAAATAGATTTGTAGATTTTCTGTTTCTTTTTATTTTGTTAAAATTTAATCTTCAATTCCAGTGAAGCCAGAAAGTAGAAATTCTGATATAATTGCAGTTAGTAGAATAGTTTGGTTGAGTCAATGTTATTCTATTATTTGAGACATAGTTTCTGCCTCATCTTAGGTCTTTTGATGCTATCTTTCATCAACCTGCCTTTCTTATTTTCCATTAAATTCCCAGTGTTTGGTATGCAGAAGATACTCAAAAATAGGCCATGGATTCGGGGTTGGATGCTACACAATTATCTATCGGGAAGTTTTCTTTCCTGGCCCTGCAGGCATCCTCTGCATGCCCAAACTTGATTGACAAATGGTGTTTAGAAAGGGAAATTGTTCAGAAGGTAATAAAAATATCTTTGTTTATAGTCTGACTGCAAAACAAAGTGAGAAAACTCTAGGCCCAATTTCTAGTTCTCTGGTCCAGAGACAGTGCTGAGCCTCACTTGGTTTCCAGTTTGCCCCTCAAGAGGCAAGTTTAGGCTCTTGAGAGGAGGCTCACTATCCAGATGATTTGGGCCTCCTTTCCTCTCCATTTCCTTTGATAACAATGCATTTCCCTTGATCCATGGACTGCAAGGGCCGTTAGAACAGGAGCAGGATCTGGGTAAATAAACCTTGGGCTGATCTCTTTTCTCAAATTCATGGCCATGTTCCCAATTAAACAAAAGATCCTAGATCAGATTCCAGTGGGTATCCCCTATTTTAGACACTCAAAGAAGGACTTAAATTTTAGAGATAATGTTTAATATTAAATATGTTTGTTACTTTCGAATGATTACTTTCAAATATTATACCTGCTTATTTTTCTTACTCATGTAAAAAATCATGGCAAATTCCTGAAATCAGTTATATTTTAAAAGAGAAGCAACTTGTAGGGTGGAGTTGGGGGGTTGGGAAGAAGATTGGAATCTTGTTTGTTTCATTTTAAGAAGATAATTATTATGTGTATATATTTAAAATCATTTTAGGAAAAAAATGAATCTAGGATGGTATGAAAATGAGTTAATAGAGCTGATCACTAAATTGAGATTTTGTCTGATGAAAGAATATATTTTGGATCACCTCAAGTATATACTCTGAGATATGTTAATTTATAGGATATACTTTTATTTTTGGTAGAAACAGTTTACATGTCTGAAAGTCTGAATTAATTTATAACTGCTGACTGCTGCTGGGGCACTTCCTGTTTATCAGGCATAGAAACAAAGACCAAACATAGAAAAAGAGAAAAATTTTACAAAATTTGTAAAAAATTTCTAAGTGTACAAACCATGCCTTTAGGATTACAAACACACATCTTGTTTCTTTGTTTGCTTTTTTGGCTACTATAACAGAAATGCTTGATGTATGGCTACCAGGAAACTAGAGGTAAACCAAACTGGAATTTGAGAACTTAGGGACACAGCCAACTGAAATATCACTTTTCATGAATTTTAATGGCCCACAAAAAGTATGGGTGAAGAGTATAAACTCATCACCAGTACGATAAAAGAAAATTGAACGTATCTTCCTCACTGAAGAGCAGGAAGCATTATGTTTGTGCACCAAACCAATAGAAAATAGGTGTTTAGTATTTAAAAGAAAGGAGGTTGGGGTAATAGTGCTGACAGAGTCAATGCAGAGTAGAAGGTCTTTTTGTGTAGCAGCTCACCAAAAGGGTGATTCTCAAAGATCATGTCTGACCCAAACAACAATTAAAAGGTTAAAGCAAAGCAATACATACAAATATTCCATTTGTTATATCCCTCATATCCTACCATTCTTCAACAATTCAGTAGTTGCTGCTTGAATGCCCACTGTGTGCACATTATCATATGCAATCACAGAGCTTGTCTTTCAGATCTGTTGCCTCCAGAGACCTTTTCTGATGTTTACGAAAGGCCTTTGCTGTTCCTGGAATATATTTGTTCAATGAGTGAGTGGGGAAAAAATAATGCAAAGATCTGTAACATGAAGTCTCTGCCACAAGGAACCTATTGATTGTAAAAGCATTCATAGAGTGCTTCAGAGTTCACAAAATCTATTGACCTACATTATTATCTATAGTAGTCAGTTGTTCCAACTCTGATTTGTATTGGAACCACCTGGGCAGGCTACTTGTTTTTTAATGTGTAGATGCTTGCAACCCAACCTGCCTTCGGAAATAGAATCTTGTTGGGAAGTGGTAGAGAAGGTGGAGGAAATGGGGATCAGCATTCCTCAAGTGATTCTGGCACCTGGTCATATTGTGACAGAGAATGTCATAGTGAGGAGAACTTCAAAGACGGCTGGCTTTGAAGTCAGACTGGGTTTGAAACCTGCCTCTAGCCATTTCTGGTTTTTTAACTTTAAGATTAATCACCCTAAGGCTCAGTTTTCTCATCCATAAAATGGGGAGAATAACAGTAGCTAACAACAGTAATAACTAGTCCTTATAGAACTGGTGGAGGGGTTCAAGGAGCTGATCCACATAAAGGGCCCATCTTAGGGCTTGTGTGGACTTGGCACACAGTAAAAGTAAACTTTATGAGCAATTGTTAACCATTAGGGCCTGTGACTTCTTTCATTTTTAGTAGTAGACCTAGACCAAATAACCACATTCCTTGTCTCTTTTGGGAGAGGCTGTCCTGTCATTTTCTCTCATCTGTTCAGCCACAAGATGGTTAGGGAAGCTCACTCCTCCTGAATTCCAGCCAGTACCAATTAGACCTTTGGTAAGGTCAGGATAGAAGAGACTGTGGCATTTCTGATCCCCTCTGGACTTCCCTCCAGAATGAACATGCTTATGTTGTTTCAGGATTTCCAGTGAGGCCTGGCCTGGAAACCAGAAGTTAAAGTTATCTAAAAGTGATAAGCTCAGGAACTACATGAAGCATTGATTTGAATCTAGTTTCCAAGGTCACCAAAGGTTCAGAAGCTGAGAAAGAGATGGCACTTTAAGGGTTAGTGGGAGAGGGTCCAGCATTTTACCCACGGAAGAAAATTTTTCTGTAGAAAGAAAAACAAGTTTTTACTGAAGTAAGTGGCCAAGAAAGTAGGTAAAGTTAAATGAATGATAAACTATCATTTCAGTCTCTAACATAAACAAAATAAGCAGCTGTAATAGCATGAAGTTTATCAGAGTGTGATAGGAAGGTCAGGCATGACAAATTGGGAGACTGGGACACTGAGCTGGCGCATGACAATTATGTAACTCACATTGCTGCTAAATTTAAACACAAGCAGCCTTCTCTGGAGGTGTGTGGGTGGAGAGGTGAAGGAGCAGATTGAAAACAATGGCCTTTATTTTCATAAGGTACTTTAATTTTAGGCCAGCATTGGATGTGAACTTTCAGCTAACTGTGCTTTTTGGTAGTTCTGTATTTTTTGAACTGAGATTACCCTTAGCCCCATGAAACATCCCTGTTTTTCTGTCAAACTACTATATCGAGTGCAGTTTTCTCTGGCCTCTCTGGAAGTGGAAATGTCTGGGCCTTTCCCCTGCAGAACGCAAAACATAAACATAAGGGCATTAAAATGGAAACAGGATCTTGGTTCTCACTGTTTCACCAGGCTCCTTAGCACTGACCTCTGACCCTCATTTAAGATCCCACGGAAAGTCTGGGCATCTGGGGTGTGTAGCTCACTGTGGGAATTTTTTTGTTGTTATGGTTGTTGTTTTCCTCCTCCTGGATTATTTTGGCTTAACCTGAGGCTATGATGTAAAATAAGCCACTTTCAAGAGCTTTCCCTGACCTTGTTTGGGGATGAGGTTAGAAGATGGGATTTGACTACTGGCACTGTCAATTCAAGAATCCATTTTCAAGTTGTTATCTAAAATTCATGTGAGAAAATAAAAAATAGCATTTCTTCCATTCTATCACATTGATGACAGGTAAATTTTGATTTTTGAAAACTCATGTAGAATTGTTGAGGATATTGAGTCTTCATGATTTTCTAGTCACATGTTACTTTTTAAAAAAGTAGGCCTCCAGATCAGATAACTTCTTCCACATTTTCTTGGGCTACACTGTATGACATTATACTTTCATTAAAGAAGTCACCTTTCCTGATCAGTCTATGGGAAAGACCTCAGAGAAGTTAGTTTTTCTTTGAAGGAATTCTATTTGTTCTTCTTGAACAGTTTGAGAGGCTAAAGTCCAGAAATATAATTGGAAGGCAATTTTATTTTATTTATTTTTATTTATTTACTTTTTAGGCTGTCTTACCCTGTCACCCAGGCTGGAATGCAGTGACACGATATCCGCTCACTGCAACCTCTGCCTCCTGGGTGCAAGCAATTCTCCTGCCTCAGCTTCCTGAGTAGCTGGGATTACAGGCATGTGCCACCATGCCTGGCCAATTTTTGTACTTTTAGTGAAGTCGGAATTTTGCCATATTGGCCAGGCTGGTCTCGAACTCCCGGCCTCAAGTGATCCGCCCGCCTCAGCCTCCCAAAGTGTGCAGATTACAGGCTGAACCACCATGACCAGCCTGGAAGGCAATTTTAAATATTCTTGTTGAGTGGCTAATTTATATGTACATTTAGGAATAATTAGTAGAGGATGTAGAAAATTTTCAATAAAAGCTGAAGAGCAGTCCTCCACGATGAGGTGGAGTAATCCTCCTCTCCTTCGTTGGATTGCATTGCATGTCTCAGGGACAGAGTCTTCTGTTTCTCAAGGGCTGAGTCTCATTTTCAGCCTGTCACCATCCATAGTGGACTTTCTCATGGCTCAGTTCCAGTTAATATAGAAAAGAGTAAGTGTTGTGAAAATTTTGTACTCAAAGGGTGAAAAGTTTTCTTACAAATATTTTGAATTTTTTAAAGAGAATCTTAACAGCAGCAAATAATTCATCTTTATGAATTCATCTTTTTTCCCTCACGAGAATTCAATGTGCTATATGAAGAACATATGAAATTCTTATTTTGAGTGGAAGAACTGAGACTTGGCTCGGTAAGTGACTTGCCTAAGGTCACTCAGCAAGTCTCACTGCATGTAACACTCACATTCTCAGACTCTAGTGCTGTACTGTTGTATCTATAATAAAAAGAAAAAAGAAAACCTTGCTCTACCTCTGCAAAGAAAAAGGAACAGCTAGGAATGCACATATGTGTCCTTTTAAACTCTCTACATAAAAATCCATCTTTTCCAGGAAGCCCTCTCTTATTGGATGTGCATATGTGGAAGATTCTAAAATCTTTCTAATAAGAGTCCATTTTTGCTTTAATTTTATTTTAGGACTTATGCTTCTAGAAAGCAGATATATATATATATATATATATATATACACACACACACATATATATATACACACACACACACACACACACACACACACACATATATATATATATATATTTGATCTCTGCAGTACTAAAGCTATAGTTATTTATTGAACAGATGTCTGGAGGAGAAGCAAGGGGAGAATATATGACTGCAAGACTAAACAGGCCAGTGAAGGAAGCCATGAAATAGGTTCTTGCTGTACCATACCATTATTTTTCCCTGAAAATATCTTTACCCCTTGTACTCTGCTACTCTAGGTCTAGGACCTTTTAACAAGTTTCTTCCTCAACAACACCTCCTTTATTGATACGGTTTAGTAATCTACGAACACCTAGATAGCTTCCTTTGACTTGATATTTTTTCTAAGCATTCTTTATCTTGTTCGTGTGTCTGCTCAGTACTTTTAATTCAATGATATATCTTTTTTCATTAATTTTTTTGAAATTCCACAAGGCTTAACATGCCATTCCACACAGAGCAGGTAGTCAACATTAGTTTGTTGATTGATTGTAATATGATATAAATCATGGGCACAATAAATTACTTGGCTACATAGAGAATTCTTACAACTCTGTCTTCTGTGTGGAGATGGGATAGAACCAGAATGGTATGTCTGTGTAGGCCACATGTCCTGGTTCAGGGAGTCCTACATGATGAACATGGTCTTACATGGTAAAATTGAGTTACCTTTAGTAATAACAGCAACTTATATATGTATAGCTCCTGGGATTTCAAATATATTTTATACCTATTAACTCACTTGATTTGGGAGTCAATATATATTAACTTCATGTTATGACTGAGGAAACTAAAGCTCATAGGAATTTGCTGATTTGTTCTTGTTTGCATCTTGCACTTTGCTGAATCTCAAAACCAGTATTTTGTTTGTTTTTTTCTTTTACCTCTTGGTCTGATGCTCTTTCTAACCTACCAGGCTGCTTCCTTCATTCCTTAAAGCTAATGCTGCAATGGTCACAGTTTGTGAATCATCTTGGAATACCATCCCTGCCTTAATTGATTTTTGCAAATACTGTGAACAAAGAGAGCCCCACCACTACTATATGCCCTGCATCTCCTAGCTTAATAAACTTGTATCCTGAAATAAGTCTTAAAGAACCACATGTAGCTCAAACATTGCACTCTGAACATATTGAGCTCTTGTGCATCATTTGCCCAGTATGAATCAGAAGGAAGTTTAGTCTAAGCTTCTGGACCAACTGACCTACCAGAAGGAAGATTAGAACATACTTTTCCTTTTTCTTGGAATTGGGAGGGTACATTTTGTAGCAACTTTCTGAAGGAGCAGAAAGTCCAATATCTATGAAATTGTCAAAATGATTAGCTAGTAATACAAAATAGTCATTACCATAATGTGCTTTCAGAGCAACATGCAATCATAAGGTATTTTTAAAAAACTCCAAATAAGCCACATAGAATTCTTGGTGGGCTAACTTCTCATCTACCCTCAATGACACCACCACTACCATACCATTTGTGGTACTTCATGTTTTGTTTTGTTTTTAAGGGTTGGTTTAATTTCAGCTAGGGTAGACTTCATAGTCTCAAATCTCTTATGGAGCAAGATCTGAATTAGATCCTTCCATTGAGCCCTATTACATTGCCTGCTCTTCACTGTACAGACCCAGTCTTGCAGATTTAGTAGAGATCATTACCAACCATAAATTTTATGTGCATTAAAGGTAGTTTTCCTCTCTTGTAATCATTATTAATATTTGATGGCCAAGGTATTATTCTTTATCGATAATTTTATACATCATAGTTAATTTAGAATGAAAAAAATCAGAACCGTAATGCAAAGTAGTGCAGCTCTACTTTAAAAAGTGACCTTGTCAAAGAGACGCATTTTTACTTCAATTAAATTCAAAGTCAGTCAGTCCCATAGGTAATGTTAGCAATTATAAGAATACTTTGCAAAAGTAGTTAAAAAACACTCAGAGAACTTTTATGTGATGCTAGTTTTTAAAGCAAGAATGACTTTCTTCCAAAACTTCAATTCTTTATGAGATCATTTTGGAGTGTACTGTTACATAAAACATGAGGTCAGTAACTAAGGCTAATTAAATTTTAGTAGGAGCAAAAGTCACCAAAAGGTTTTTGCATTCATCCTACCAATTCTAAAACAGTGATACAATACACCATTAATAGCCTTAGAATTGCTAATTATTTCAACATGAATAGCGATATCAACGCTGTCAGTTTAATTTAATACACTCAGGAGAATTCCTGCAGAATGCATGATTTCTCTATTATTTCCTGGTTTTCACAACCATTAAAAGCTATAAATTCTCTTCTTCAGAAAGAGAGAGAGATTAGTAGTCTAGAGTCTTCTCACTTTTTTGAGAATGTTGAAGTTGTTATTTTTAAAAGAAATGGGAAGCAAAAACAGAATAGAAATTAAAGAATGAGAGTACCCCAGGCTTTATTCTGTGATCTAGTATGAGGTAAATGTTCATAACTCCAAAAGAATTAAAACACTCATGCCTTCTATTAGTTCCAATGGAGTTCCCACTTAGGGAATAACCTTAGACTTGGGGTTGAAAGTGTCTTTTTTCTGGAGGGAAACTAAAATTAATGCCTGGAGGAGTGAAAGTTAAAAGAAGTCGATGAAATAAACAAGCAGGTTTTATTTACTAGAAACTTTAGTAAGTTAAAAGGAAGAAGTGAGTCACTCATTTCATAACATACTTTATTTAGAAGACAATAGGAAGCAACTACAGCTTTTTTCATGGAAGAAAGGTGAGTTAAAATGGATTCTACAAAACATTAATCTGATAGTAGCAAACTAAAAACTACTGGACTCTGAGGGTTAGTCAAAACCTTCAAGATAAGCTAAGTTTCTATTGGATATGTTTCCTCTACAACATCCCTTATTGACCAATCTTGGTTTGCGTATCTCTAGTGAAACGTAGTACCTCATTTTCAGAATATTCTAATTGTTTGAAAATTTTCTTCACCCCAAATACTGTCATCCTTGAATATTCACTTATTTGCTGATTTAGTGTCTCCGTAATGTGGTCTTTGACATGCTTTTAGGTGACAAACAGGAAGGTATCTTTTAATTTTAATGGTAATATATATTTCAACATACATTCACAAATACACTAGTGAACCCAACTCATGATTTCACAGATGATGATTGCTAAGAATGAAGTAGAAAAAAAATGAGTCCGTGTGAAGCTCAGTTGAGAAAACTATTACATAAATGTTAAAATGTATGTGAATATGAATATGACTGAAGCCATGAAGGTGATTACATAAAAGGCCAAGCATGAAAAATAGTCCTGTAGGTCTACACTGTGGGCACCAGAGCAGACACCATACTCCTGCCTAATGGCGGAAGAGCTGTGCTGTCGTGAGATTAGTCAGGAAGGGTAGATGAATGGAGGCCAGGAGGAGAGGTAGAAGGCTGCTGTCATAAAGGAACAGGCATAGTGATGGCTTGCACCACAGTGGAGGCAGCAGAAATGTTGAGAAATAAGTCTATCAGTGAGGTGTCACAGAAAGACCACTGTCCTGCATGTCAGACGACTTAGATGTTGGTCCAAACACTCTTCCAATTAAACCTCCCCTTATTCCTACAGGTCTCAGTTTGCTTCATCTCTGGAATGGAGATGGTTTCCTATGTGATCATGAAAATTTCTCCCAGCTCTGAAGACCTTTTATTTTGTAAGAATCATTGTGAAGGTATGGGCTTGGCAAATGAATGGAAAGATGAGCAATGGGAGAGGAAAGAATTGAAGAGGGCTGTGAGGTTTGAAGAATGGGTAAGTAGCATCATTCACAGAAATGAGAGGGACAAGGGGTCAGAAAAATTGGGAATCAGTGGCGAAGAAAGACTGGTTTGGATCTGTTGCAATGGAGAGGCCAATGACATTTATTTGTGATGTCTAACAGGTCCGTGGACACAGGAAAAGGTGAGACTTTGTTTACTTGTCTGTAAAATAGGGATGAGGTGATACATAGAGATGTCGGGATCGCTTACTTAGAGATAGCTTGTGAAACCATGGAAATGACAAAAACTCAGTAAGGAAAGGGAGGATTAAAAAAATTGCAGTTAAGCGAGAGAACATTTATTGTGAAGCTACTATGTGCTACGCACATTATCTATGTTATGTCATTTAAACCTCACAAAAATCTTGTGGACTATGTGTAATTCCTTCCATTTTATGTATTAGAAAAAAATGATGCTCAGCAAGGTCCCAGACTGCATAAGAATTAACATATCACTCAGATTTGAACCAGTCTCTCTGACTCCAAAATCTATATGGTGCTGTTCCAATGTGAAACATAGACAATGAGAAGGGATGAGGACACAGCATAGCAGTTCTCAGAGGGGGTGGAAGAAGAGCCCTTGAAACTTTGATAGTGCAAGGTCAGTTCAGCCAAAGCTGGACAGAGGGGAAAGAGGGGAAAATCATTTTCAATGTTGCAGAGAAGTCAAGGGGAATAAGAACTATAAAAAAAATTGAGTCGGTGGGGGGATCCAAGGAGGCAAATTATGCCACCTCAGAGGTTTCAATATATTGATTGGGGTGAATCTGAGAAGGAAGGGTGCAGATTATGAAAATGGTAATTATAATACTAAATATATACCGAGCACTTACTATATGCCAGACACTTTTCTAAGTGACTTATATGTATTAACTTTCAATCCCAACAATCGGCTTATTGAATGGTCTAGGCTCAGTAGGGTTCAAGGCAGGAAACAATTTTATCCTCTGCTGATATAGCTTTTCAATCACATCCCATCATTTCTCCATGACTACCTCTGGACAATATATTGGACAGATCTCCTAACTTGTTTTGATCCTTTTCAGGTACTGTATTAGAAACTAACATCCATACATTAATATAATGGACACCATGTTGTGACAAGAAATGATGTTCTTTATATATTGACACAAAATGTTAAGGGGGAAAAAGAGCAGGAGAGTGAATACCATAAACTATATGTAATAAAAGGGAAAGCGTATATATTCATATTTAATTATGTGTGCATTAAATATCACTTGGAATATCACCAAGGAAGTAATACAAATATTTGCTGATGGGAAGGAGTTGTTGGCTCGAATAACTGTAGAGGGAGGGAAACTTTTCACTGAATATCTTTTCAGTCTCCTTGACTTTTAATCTATGTGAATGTATTACTATTGATTTCAGTCAGCTATTGCTACAATAATGATGTACAACATCCATCCTCACACTCAGGCAATAAGCTTTGTTTCTCATGCTCATGGGCAAGTGGTTCAGCTGAGTGGCTCTGCATCAGGCTGCAGTTGTTCAGTTGCCTGTAGTAGTTTGCAAGGGACTGAATGTGTCACCCCTCCCCCATTCATATGTTGAAAGCCTAACCTTCAATGTGGTGCTATTAAGAGGTGAGGCCTTTGGGAGGCAAGTAGGTCATGAAGGTGGCGCCTTCATGAATGAGTAAAGGGGACCCTAGAGAGCTCACCCTCTTTTGCCCATGTGAGGATACAATGAGAAGATGACAGTTTGCCACCTGGAAGAGGGCCTTGATTATAAGGGCACCCTGATCCCAGATTTCAATCCTCTAGAAAAGTGAGAAATAAATTTCCATTGTTTATAAACCACCCAGTCTAAGATATTTTGTTATTGCAGCCCAAACTGACTAAGATATAGCTCTACTCCATTTGTCTCATTATGAGGTCCCAGCTAGAGAGGCAGACTTTCTGGGGCATGTTCTTCTCTTAGTGAAGTCAGGAATTCCCGGAGGGTGTCAGAAAACACTCATGCTTTCAACTGCAGGCCTGGGCTTGGAATGTTCACATACTCACCTCCAACCCAATGCTTAAATAAGCAGGGCAGCATACTCCTCCAGAGTTAAAGGGGAGTGAGTCATTGCTGAACAATAGTCTACCCGCCTCTTTAAAAGATATTTTAAATCCACTTGAGCCTAAGATCAAAATTTTAATCTCTCATCCAATCTCAGATTTCTCCCTTCCCCACTGTGGCTCAGCAGTTCAGGCTTGACCCATATTTAGAAATTTATGGTAGGTGCCGGGTGTGGTGGTTCATGCCTGTAATCCCAGCACTTTGGGAAGCTGAAGTGGGTGGCTCACCTGAGGTCAGGACTTCAAGACCAGCCTGGCCAACATGGCAAAACCCTGTCTCTACTAAAAATACAAAAATTAACTGGTGTGGTGGTGCGCACCTGTAGTCCCAGCTACTCAGGAAGCTGAGGCAGGAGAATCACTTGAACCAGGGAGGCAGGGGTTGCAATGGGCAGAGATTACAGCCACTGCACTCCAGCCTGGGCAACAGAGCAATACTCTGTCTAAAAAAAAAAGAAAGGAAAAAAAAAAGAAGTTTATGGTAGTGAAAGGGACTATGCTAAGTTTCTTTCCTTCTCTCCCTCCCTCCCTCCTTTCCTTCCCCCCTTGTTTTTATTCCTTCACTTTACCTACTTTCTAACTTTCAGATACTATTAAGATTTCACTTTTTAAAAGTTGGGTACAAGAAAGAGGTATAATGAGAAGGGAAAGAAATATTTCTTTTTTTTTTAAATGCTACTTTTCAAAAAAATTTTACTTTAAGTTCTGGGATACATGTGCAGAACATGCAGGTATGTTACATAGGTATACACATGCCATGGTGGTTTGCTTTACCTATCAACTCGTCGTCTAGGTTTTAAGCCCTGCATGCATTAGGTAATTGTCCTAATGCTATCCCTCCCCTTGCTCCCCACCCCCTGACAGGCCCCAGTGTGTGTTGTTCCCCTCCCTGTGTCCATGTGTTCTCATTGTTCAACTCCCACTTATGAGTGACAACATGTGGTGTTTGGTTTTCTGTTCCTATGTTAGTTTGCTGAGGATGATGGCGTCCAGCTTCATCCATGTTCCTGCAAAGGACATGATCTCATTCTTTTTTATGGCTGCATAGTATTCCATGGTGTATATGTACCACATTTTCTTTTTCTCAGTCTATCATTGATGGTCTGGGTTGGTTCCATGTCTTTGCTATCGTAAATAGTGCTGCAATAAACATACATGTGTCTTTATAGTAGAATGATTTATATTCCTTTGGGTATATACTCAGTAATGGGATTGCTGGATCAAATGGTATTTCTGATTCTAGATCCCTGAGGAATCACCACACTGTCCTCCACAATGGTTGAACCAATCTACATTCCCATCAACAGTGCAAAAGCATTTCTATTTCTTCACAGCCTCACCAGCATCTATTTTTCTTGACTTTTTAATAATCACCATTCTGACTGGTGTGAGATGGTATCTCATTGTGGTTTTGATTTGCATTTCTCTAATGATCAGTGATGATGACCTCTTTTTCATATGTTTCTTGGCCGCATAAATGTTTTCTTCCAAGAAGTGTCTGTCCATATCCTTTGCCCACTTTTTGATGGGGTTGTTTTTTTCTTGTAAATTTGTTTAAGTTCCTTGTAGGTTCTGGATATTGGACCTTTGTCAGATGGGTAGATTGCAAAAATTTTCTCCCATTCAGTGGGTTGTCTGTTCACTCTGATGCTAGTTTCTTTTGCTGTGCAGAAGCTCTTTAGTTTAATTAGATCCCACTTGTCATTTTTGGCTTTTGTTGCAATTGCTTTTGGTGCTTTCGTCAAGAAGTCTTTGCCCATGCCTATGTCCTGAATGGTATTGCCTAGGTTGTCTTCTAGGATATTTATGGTTTTGGGTTTTACATTTAAGTCTTTAATCCATCGTGAGTTAATTTTTGTATAAGGTATAAGGAAGGGGTCCAGTTTCAGTTTTCTGCATATGGCTAGCCAGTTTTCCCAACACCATTTATTAAATAGGGAATCTTTTCCCCATCGCTTGTTTCTGTCAGGTTTGTCAAAGATCAGATGGTTGTAGATGTGTGGTGTTATTTCTGAGGCCTCTGTTCTGTTCCATTGATCTATATGCCTGTTTTGGTACCAGTACCATGCTGTTTTGGTTACTGTAGGCTTATAGTATAGTTTGAAGTTAGGTAGTGTGATGCCTCCAGCCTTGTTCTTTTTGCTTAGGATAGTCTTGGCTATAAGTGCTCTTTTTTAGGTTCCATTTGAAATTTAAAGTAGTTTTTTCTAATTCTGTGAAGAATGTCAATGGCAGTTTGATGGGAATAGCATTGAATCTATAAATTACTTTGGGCAGTATGGCCATTTTCATGATACTGATTCTTCCTATTCATGAGGATGGAATGTTTTCCATTTCTTTGTGTCCTCTCTTATTTCCTTGAGCAGTGGTTTGTAGTTCTCCTTGAAGAGGTTGGGAAGAGCAAGTTCTAATGTCATTGGGGTCCTATGTGTGGCCCAGGGAAAGGTACTGGTTCTGTGTTTCATGAAAGACCTTGTGGGTTCTTTTCAGATTCATGGCAGAGACCTCATGCCACATCATGCCTTGTTACAGGTGATGCACCTCTGAATAACCACACCTGCCTCCTGTTTCTGGTCTGCTTCTCCTGCCTTTACAGAGGCTTTTAGTCTATTCTGTCTATTGGGTGGGAAGTTTTCAAATACTGAAGACCTGCTGCTGTATTCCATCTATGGGAAATAAGTACCCTTACCTGTTGTTGATCAAAGGGTGGCTTGTATCCATTGTGCTTCTTCTCACTGTGTTCATAGAGGGAACTCAAGCCACTCACTCATCATTAAACTTTTCTAGGTGAAAGTCAGGTACCAGTTTCAGCATTCCTAAGGTTTTATTGAATCATTTTCCCAATGTGGCATGATAGTAAGGAAGCACCCCATCCCTTCAAATGCTCAGCTCTAACCATCCTTTTCCAAACAAATTCTCATCTCTCTTTCCTCAGTTTGTATCAAGCCTTTTATTGCACAGGTTGGAGATGGATAATGGATTAAGGGAGTGGATGATACTGAGAAGCATGGATTCCAGACACAGCTCTGCCACTAACTATATAAGTGACATGAATAAGAATCTAGTACACCATTCTTCTAAAGAAGAGGAAACTGAGGCTCATACACTTTTCATAATTTGTCCTCTTTAATCTGATAGTGGCAAAGCTCTGCCTTAGAATCTGTGTTTCCTGAACCCCATAGTACAATGTTTGTTTCTACTGAATCAAAGTAGCAAGTCTTTCCTTATGTTTAAACAATCCTGTTTTTGTGATTTAAGATCCTTTCTTCTTCTGGTTTTGGCAAAGACCAGATCAGGAGAACAGCTGGCTACCATTTTTTATTTGTGAACATTATAAATAAAAAGCCTTCCAAACCTTCCCCAAGAGTTAGAATTTCTTTGGAGTCTTGAGCCTCAGAGACTCATTTTAAGTCCATTCAAACTACAATGTATTTTGGTTCTGAAGATCTTCTTCTGAAAGACCCCAATAAAGATCTCTCCTCACAGCCCATTCTTCAATTAGTCCCTCTGTGGGGCTGGAGGGAGATCTGTGGGGCTGGAGGGAGATCTGCGGAGCCAGCTGGACTTTGAACTTGTGATTCCTAAGGGAAGGTATATTTCAACCCTGATACTTAGATTCCAGGCTCTTTTCTCTGTTAGGAGTTGTATTATTGAAGTAAAATAACATTCTTAACTCTGAGTGTGGAGTTCTTAAATGAGAACATACATCTTATTTTTTCTATTTTTGGAAATTTAACATTCATTAAGTTGTTAACCTTTGAAAACTTCTATCCTCCCACTTCCTTGTCTGTCAGCCTAAATCTCCCCTCCTCTCTGTTACAGCCTCTTTCCTTAGAAGGATATGTTCTGCTCCTTTAGAGCTTAATTTCTCATGCTTCTCAACATTCCCTACATTGCTCTTCCTATGCTTTCTTTGAGGGTTCCCGGATGTGAATTCGCATACCCCACATTCACACGCCCAATTCAGATAAAACAACAAAGTCTATTGTCTTCTGAGAAAAATTCTAACTCTCTTCAGGTGCTGTAGGTGTCTCATTTTCATATTCCTGCTTGAAAATGTAAGAGGAGCCCTGAATCATGATCGTGCATTATGGCTCAGAGCAGGCCTTCTTAAAAGTACAATTCCTTCCCCAAAGGAAATGAAAGAGCTATTTAAAACAAGCAATCAATCCATTTAGAACTCTCCACAATCTGAAGAACATTTCTTATAGTTATGAATAGAAGGAAGAGAGGCAACAAATTTTTTAAAAATGGATTTAAAAGGAGACTTTTGGGCCCATCAGCATTCACTGAGTCCAAACATAGAAATTCAATTCAATTTATCATGTAGAGAAAAGATTAATCACTTGCAGGAATCTTGAAATTCATATGTTGCCTTCAAAGTTGTTAAATGAGAATCATTTCTAATTGTCACTATCTGCTCAGTGTTAAACTTTTCTACATAATTTGATTGTCTTGCTGCAGCATGAGTCATCTTAAGTTCCATTTTCTTTCAATCCCCCAAATCCAAGTCCAAAGATACCTACAACAATTTTTCAGAGGGTTCAAGTTAATTTCTTCTTCTCTTGAAAAACCAGCACTTTATAGGCCATAACTGTGTCACATGGGTGCCTAGTAGTGTAGTTATCTACTGCTTTTATCTTTTTTAAATGTTTTATAACCTATATATAAGAGTAAGTTTAATCTTCTATAAACATTATTTAGGGAATGCCAATTCTATGTGCTTTCTACCTACTACATCTTCTAGCTATTTTGTAAGCCAAATCTAAATGCCCTGCAGGACTACATTTCTGTTGCTTGGTTTTGGTGTACCTTTTCTTTCTTTCTTTTTTTTTTTACTACTCAACATTCGTTTCTCTGGGTGACATCATCTCAATTTGGGTACAGGGGAATCTGCTTGTTCTATTGCATGATCTACTGGGACTGTCTACCAAGGTATCTTGCCCTTGCTATAGCCTATGCTGAAGTCTATGATTCAGTCCTTTTCTCTGGAATTTGACAAGTGCAGAGTGACAGGAAGCCTGAAAGTGGCAACAAGAAAGAGGCAGAAACTCACTTATCCCTGAGGAGGTTGTCCATCTTTCCCTGCACTCTGGACTTCCAATTTTGCTTTGATTCATCCTTGTTGAGACTATTCCTTTAGATTTCTTACAATGTTGTCAGCTATTCACTATCCTTCAAATAAACTTTGTTTTCTGTTTAAATTAGAGTTGGCTTTTATTAATTACAATCAAAGGTGTCTGATGGCACTGGCCTCAAATATCCATAGGTGGTTTTCCCACCTATGGTCAAGACCAGGGTGGGCCCTTTTGTGGCTATAAATTTGCTCTTTAGTCTTCCTAAAATTTCTTCCTTCTTCTTTCTACTAAATCTACCCTTTTCATCCTTTATGACATTTCTTTAAGCTTCAAACTTTTTCTTGAAAACTAACATGGTTTGACTTTCTCCATTAACATTCCTCCAGAATTTGTTTAGCATTTATTTGTTATTTGCCAGACCCCAAAGTTGCCTTTTCCTGCACAGAGAAGTTCGCTCAGTTTTGCATCAGGATAAGCTGCCAAATGTTCAGCCAATTAAAAATTGAGCCACAATGCATCTACTCTTGACTTTTTGGTAAAATAAACCAAAGAAAACTTACTGATTAGACCAATCGTGAATCATTGTTATAAATGTAAATTATTCACAGGAAAATCATTACCAACGTTTCTCCCATCAAAAAGCAGGACATAAAAAGTGTAGCAGAGACAGGGGTGAATCTAAGCAGATGTTTAGTGCACAGAGTTTATTTTTTGATCTATACCAGCAGAATAAAGCTAGCAAATGATCTTAGTATCTCAGTGACTTAACACAACAAAGGTTATTTGTTACTGATGCTCCATGTCTAATGTGAGTTAGCAAAGATTTTCTGTACATCATAACCTGTCAAAGACCCAAGTTGGTGGAGGTATCCTGTTGATTAACAGTACTTCAGCTTACATTTTGTTGCAAAGTAAATAATATGGCCACACTATCATTAAATTGGGCAGGGAAATGAAATCCCTCCATGTGCCTGGAAAAGGCATACTATACATATTTGATGAATACTACTAATGAGGGACTACCCTAGATGCCTTACCCCGTATTCATAGTCTTTTCTCCTCATCATGCTCAGCATTCTTCACCTTAGAACTGCTCACCTCATTCCAGGCATTTTTTTCTAGGTCTCAGAGTTGATGTAACTAAGCTATTACTTAATCATCACCAAGATATTAACTGAAAATGATAACACATTGAATGGACAGAGCCTCTATAGTTTACACAGCATTCCTCTATAAATGATCTCCTTTGACCTTCACAACCATCCAGGAACACGGGTGGGGCAGAGTGTATTAATTCCATTTTATATAGATGACTAAACTGGAGCAGAAGGAAACAATGTGCCTGACCCAAATTCACACTGATAGAGCTGGGAATAAAACAACGTATCTTTCCACACTAAACCTGTTGCTGTGTTTCTGTGTGTATTTTGCCACACTGCACTTACACAGTTAACAAAGAAGACATGTGGCCGCTATTCATTTTATCGTCTTATAAAAGTGGAAGCAAAGAAGATAGAAATTCCCTCCAGAACTAAAGAAATGAAGCTGTAATGATAACCAGGACAGCCCCTCTAGCATATTATGACTAGTGGAGGGAGGTCTTGTCCCTGTCCTTGTACATATCACAGGGGTGGCTGCCTGCTTTTCCACCTCCTTCCATGAGTACTCTGAGTAGGGGAACACCGGTGTATGAGTGTGAGTCTCATTGTTAATTGACTAAATATATGAGAGAGGGCCATGTAGGTGAGAACTGTTTTAAAGGAAAGCAAGTAATTACTCTGATGTTACTAGAAAAATGAGTGGCTAAACTAACTCCTATGCCTGGTAACAGTTTCTACCTTTTACATCCAAAGAATGTCAAGGCATACATTTTTAACAACTACTTTTCAGGTTAGAAATCTGACTGAATGTAGGTCAGTTTAATTCTGGAGTCACTAGGAGATAGTTTGTTGTAAAAAATTATGGTAATTCTCTGTCCTGGAATTTCCTGTTTCAGACAGGTGTCAGTGTATCTCAATTTCTGAATTTGAACATGGAGTCTCTGTCACCAGGGGAAAGGGAAACAGTGTGTCTGTGGCCCAGGACTTGGTTGCTTTATGTCATTCACTTTCCTTGTCAACCTCTCAAAGGCATGAATTGTATGAACACATTGCGGATAGTACAGAAACTTCAAGGTGACAGGGAAAGAACAGTTGCTGTATAATTGAAAATTTCACTAAAAAAGCCTATAAGACAGATAAAAATGTGAAATCGTCTAGCAACATTTGCCCCTGAATATCAATCACTGTCAATCACTAATAAACTTTTCCAATAACTCAGGATCATTTTGATTATTTTCCTGGGAGGGGCTGTGGGTCTCTCAGGCATGCAGCACACCTGCAGGCAGGCCTCTTCTGGTGTTTGCCTACAGGAAAGTCATTAAAAGGCAGTGCAATATAGGGCAGCTCCCCCAGCAGCAGCGATTAACCTTCAGGAACCTGGCAGGCATAGGTGTATTTTAGAACCGCAGAAACCATTAACCTTCTCATTATTTAAAGGAGTGAATAGTAGGAGAAAAAACTAAGATCTTCTTCTCTATCTCTCGCTTCACTTCTTCATCTCTCCCCTGTGCCATTCCCTCCTGTTTCGTTCATCCTATGGCTGTCTTTGAGATGTGGGGACTGCCCTACTCACACTGCAAACACTGTTGGGGGATGGCGGCAGGTGTAACTTGCTGCCACCTTAATGCCATGGGAGGGGACTGGCACGTGGTTAAGAGAGGTCTTTTCTGCTCTGGTTCCACCCTGAGGAGTCCAGTCTAGGAGGAGTTGGTGCTGGTCCTAATGCCTCCTGGCCTGGTTCCATGTGGTGGCAGGTGCCACTGATGCTTGTGACACATACAGTGCCCCTGCAGGTGCCTTATGAGTGCTCATCCATCTCCTTGCCATCCTTGTCTCCCTGGCTCTCTGGAAAAGAAAGAAGCCCACCCTCTCTGCAGGGGAGAGCAAACAGCAAGTTGGCTCATCCGTCATTGCTTATGTCACGTCCAAGTTGTGGATGAATGTTCAGAGACTGACACAGCCTTGGTCAGAACTGACATAACAATAGTTCTTTTCCCTGTTAGCTAGGAATTTCTGATTGGGAACAAAATAATATCTACATCATTAAAAATGTTAACACTCCAGAAATAGCATCATATTTTAAATATCTGTTCTTCTGATGTCTATTAGCTGAGATAACTTACATTTGAATCTTAATGTACAAAAAAGTATCTTTGGGGCTTAATTTCACTTTCAATTAATGATGTTTCCTTCTAGAAAAGCAGTAGTGAACATAAAAACATGGGGCAATTGTTCTTGAATCTCTTTTACCAAATTCCATTGAGGTATATCATTTAAGATGGAGAGAAAAAATCCAAAATGGTTTAAAAAACTAGGTGCTGTTATTGTAGTTATAAAATAATCCCTAGGTTGTTAGGCAACAATATGAAAATCAAAACTGGCAACATGTTTGTGACTGTCACAAGAAGACACCTATGAAATTATTCTAAGGAGACAAGTGATTCAGGATGTGATGTGGGTTCTGGCAAAGGGAAGAGATGCCAGGATTGCCCCAGCCTCTGAGGAAGCCTCTTTAATTTAAATGTGCATGCTGAGATGCAGCTGTGCTGATGAATGCATATTTATTGGACCTGGATAGGAGGCAAATGCGTAACTAATTAAACTATCCTGGCATCAACTACTCTGGCCAAAAACCCCTTTTTAAAAAGCGTCACTGTTTAAAATGCATTCTGAAAGCAAAAAGTTACCACTCAGAACTGGTTTGCAAATAACATCTCTGAAGGAATGCGATGGTAATTTTACTTAGTTTAGAAAAATAATGTTTAGAAGTGCGTTTAATGTAGAGGTGACTTTATGAAAGTTTTTGCCCTCTAGCTGAGACTATTTTCTTATTTTAAGAGATAAAAAGGACAAACTGTCTAGAAAAATTATAGAATGGCATGTTAGAGCTCGTCTAGTCCACTTGTTCCATTTGCAGCTATGGCAATGGAGCACAGAGAAATGCCTAGGATATGAACTAAGTGAGCTTCTCTGTTTCCCAACTTTCATGGCATTATACTAGCCAAAGAAGAACTTTATAATGCTGATCTTTAAAAAAAAAATACAACTGTTTAACAAAAAAGTTCTTGAAATTTGTTTCTTTACAAAATCTGGACAAGCTGTAAGTGGCCCTGGCCAAGAAGGACACAAATGGATGAGGCTGGACAGCAGTGGGATGCTGGAGCCCTGTTATTGCCTATACTTTGCAACATGCTAAGTGGTTCAACCTAGGCATTTATTTCATCTGTATTACTCACACTTTGGATTTTTCATTATCTAATGATGAAGTATGCATTTATATATCGAGGTTGAGGAGGCAATTCAAGTTTTGGGGGTTTCTGAGGCAGAACAATAAATAACTCTTCTCTTTCATGCCCAGATTCCGAAGTAATCAAGAAATACATCAGCAGTGAGCTAATGGAGTCCTGAAAGATCGTCTTTACTACTGATAAAATGCAAACAATATATTCCCGAGTACTTTATTTGAATGGGCTGGTGGAGCTGACTCCCAGGACCCAGTGGGCTTAGTCATTAGTCACAAGCAACTGTGACTTGTGGTGAATGGGCCTATGGCAGGCCGGCCTGCTCCCTAGAAGTAAGAGGAGAGGCAGAGTCCCATCAAATTTTCTAATGTGAAAAGTAACTTCATTTGCTCCTTATGCCTTCAGCCCTGCTGGTGAAATGAAAGGCTCTGTAGGCTGAGGAAACTATCTGCCTCTGGGTAAGGGTGGAAAGAGGAAGCATTAAGACTCTAATTAGAAAAGTGATACATGGTGAAAAAAAGAATTAACATCCAGATTCTGATATTCAAGTAAAGATTTTTGCAGTCATGACAAATAAACTTGAACTAGGTGAGAAGAAGAGAGCGAGAAAGAGAGCGAAAGAATTTTCCTTTGTTAGCATGGCAAGAGCCAATCCTAGCACATTCATTTACCCACAAATATTTATTGCATGCCAGCTATGCATTAGAGACTGTTGTAGGCACTGGGAATATAGCAGTGAGTAAAATCTACTGGTAAAATTCTGCCTTTGCTGAATTCATATTCTAGTTGAGATGGTTGAGATCCAGTGGGCCTACCGTGCTGTCTGCTGTGGTGAAGTAAACCAAAGCAGCGGTTAAGTGCGGGACACCTGTGTCAAGTCAACATTAAGGGTCAAGGTGAATCGGGGTCACCTCCAGGCCACAGTCAAGTGGGAATGAGCCATACATTAACTCATCAATGAGCCATACACCAGCTACTGACTTCAGACCTAAATGCCTTCAGAGAAAGTAGCAACCAGGTGAGAAGGAGACATGATAGCAGAGATCAGAGAAGCTAGAGTCACTGTCAGGTCTGAGGGCTCCTTCCATCCCCTGCCACAAAGACCTGATAAGCCCCTGCCTCCAACATACACCCAAATATCATTTTGATAAGAGAAGGGAAAGGGTATCAAAATCTGCAAGTGGCTAAATTTCCAAAAGAGAATACTTAAGACAATCCTGATGGAGAGTGAATTATCAGTGAGCTGAATGTTTAAACTAAAATATTTTTATTTGGATTAAGTTTACTTCCTTTTCCATGATATCTACTGGTATGAAGATCATGAGGACAGATAAAACTTCTATAAAAAATAAAAACTGCATCTTCTCTGCCAGAGTGGGGTGTGGCATGTGCTGTTATGTAAATGATGTCACTGCTGTAGAATGAATGTTTGTGTCTCCCTAAAATTCATATGTTAAGACCTAACCCCCCAGTGTGGTGGCATCAGGAGGTGAGGCCTTTAGGAGGTTATTAGGTCATGAGGGTGGAACCCTCATGAATGGGATTAGTTACCTTATAAGAAGAGACACTAGAGAGCTTGCTTCCTTTTCTGTTCTCTGCCATGTGAGGCCACAAGGAGAAAATGGCCACCTGCAAATCAGAAAGAGTATCTTCTTTTTTTTTTTTTTTTTTTTTTTTAGACAGAGTCTCACTCTGTCGCCCAGGCTGGAGTGCAGTGGTGCCATCTGGGCTCACTGCAAGCTCCACCTCCCAGGTTCACGCCATTCTCCTGCCTCAGCCTCCCGAGCAGCTGGGACTACAGGCGCCCACCACCACACCCGGCTAATTTTTTGTATTTTTAGTAGAGATGGGGTTTTACCGTGTTAGCCGGGATGGTCTTGATTTCCTGACCTTGTGATCCACCCGACTTGGCCTCCCAAAGTGCTGGGATTACAGGCGTGAGCCACCGCACCGGCCCAGAAAGAGTATCTTTAACAAGAACTTAGCTATGCCAGCATCCTGATTACAGACTTCCAGAACTGTGAGAAATAAATGTCTGTTGTTTAAGTCACCCCATCTATGGTATTTTGTTATGGCCATGCAAACAGATTAGGACAGTCATATAATCATAACTTATTTGAATGACTCACTGCTAACTTTCATTCCCAGATATGTTTTGAGATAAAAGAGAGCCATTTTCCTTCCTCTCTCTGAAGTTAGTTCTTAGTAAACTCCATCTACCAGAGAGGGGTGAATTGTCAATGATTCACTGTGTATACTCACAATGTATACTCTATCCTAAAGGCACCAGGAACGGTAGTATAGACGTGGCGACAGGAAATAGGACTACACATTGTTTAAGGTAATGAAATTTGGGCTTCTTTCTAGGGAAGTGAAGAAGTCACTCAATGGAAGAGAAATGAAGTTTCTCAGTTCGTACTGGGGCTGGACCCAGGACTGCCATACATTTATGTTTGTTTTATTTGGTCCAATTGGCCTCTTTAATATTCTTATGATGTCTTCACCTCTTTCCCTTCCTATTCTGAGTCCACAGCCAATTTTATCACTCAAACTGCTTTTCCCTTCCTATTCTGACTGAGTCCACAGCCAATTTTATCGCTCAAACTGCTTTTCCAAATGTCAGCAAAGACCTTCAAATCTTGAGTCCATTGGCCCCTTCCAACAACTCATCTATCACCTTCACATTGCATTCTTGTTTATGGGGCTCACTGCTGAGACTGTTTCTTCCAGACTCTGAGAATGCAATGCTGGCTCTTCCTATCTTTTTAAAAATTCCCTATTGGTCTCTGTTATGGGCTGAATTGTGTTGCCCCCACAAAATCATATATTGAAGTCCTAACCCACAGTACTTCAGAATGTGATTACATTTGGAGATCAGGTCTTTAAAGAGGAATTCAATTAAAATGAGGTTATCAGAGTGGGCCCTAATGCAATATTGCTGGTGTCATTATAAGAAGGGGAAATTAGGGCATAGACATGTAGAGAAGGAAGACCACATGAAGACACAGGGAGAAGACAGCCATCTACATGCCAAGGACAGAGGCCTCAGAAGAAACTGTCTCTGCTGACACCTTGATCTCCGACTTGCAGCCTCCAGAACTGTGAGAAATAGATTTTTATTATAATCTACCCAGTCTGCGGTACTTCATTACGGCAATCCTAACAAACCAACACAGACTCCTTTATTTCACCTTCTCTGCTTATTCCCTAAAAGTGGACATTTCCCAACCTCAGTCTTCATGCTTAGCTTTGCTAGTCTCATGTACCTTCGTATGTCCAATTATCATCTCCATTAAACCAATCTTCAAATTTAACAGGTTGAACCATATGAAATGGCCATCTTTGTAGGTTAAAAGTGGTTGACTCTTGGCAGTTTCATATGGTTCAACCTAATATGCCTCTACTCTAAACATTCTTTGATGCTCTATACGTGCATGTCCCCCTGCCTTTTACAAATATCCTTAAGATTACACCACTGGTTTCTTCCAAATATCACATCCAAAATAGAACTCACCAACTTCTTAAGAAAGCTCTAGGCTTAAAGCATCGGCTGTACTTTGGGTCATCCTTTTCTCTCACTGTCTTATACCCTGGTCGCCACTTGTGTGCTGTTGCCTGCCTTCCACATCCACTTCCATAGTACAAGCCCTTTTGGGGAAACTGCTGGGGAGCCTCCTAGTACTTTTAATTTAAATGTGGTTTCTGAACCTGCAGCATTCCCACTGCCTTTAAGCTTGTTGGAAATAAAGACTCAGTCCCCACCTGGACTTACTTATTCAATCAGAACATGAGTTTCTAAAAAGATCCCCAGGTGATTCTAATACACATTAAAGTTTAAGAACTGCCTTAGAATATGACGGTGGCCACAGGAATTTTAACTTTCCAGAAAGATCATGTCAATGTATTTTCTCATTGGCAGCAGGAGAGTATAAGAAAACCCAAATCACCATAATTTCACCAGTACAGAGTAACACCCGTGATTTTTAAATGCTGCATTTTTGATAGGTGAAAAATTATATTTTGATAATGTTGATATTTATTCCTCTTTAATGACTGGTAAAGGTCTATATTCATATTTGTCCATGAACTCTCTGTTCATAGCTTTTGGTAGTAGTTGTTTTTCTAATTGAATTATTTGGGACTTTTCTGAATTTTATTATTATACTTACCTTTGTTATTGCAATGTGGACAACTCTCAGGACGTTGTGTTAGTTAACCTGCTGAATGTGAATCGAAGATTCTCAATATTCCTGACAGTCATGTCTTTACACTATGCATAGTTTGAGGAGTAAATTGTTTTCTTCCCAGGTGGTTATAGCCGGCTATGCAAGTCACAAATCTTTGCTTAATTCATGAGCCCAATTTGAGGAAATTAATGGATAATGATGATTTTACAGTGAGTGCTGTAGTGCTTGCTCTACAGTAGAAACACAGGGGATGATTCTGAACTGAGTTGCAGAGCAGAAAATACAATAAAGCATGGCGCCATTCGGCAGCCTCCTCTCTAAACCTAGTAGCTGTAACACGCGCGCGCACACACACACACACACACACACACATACACACACGAAGAGTGATTCTGGGGAGCCAAGATAGATACTGACACACTGATCACTAAAAAACTCATGCTCCTTCTTATCATTCAGAATGATTAGTCTGCTGGTTGTGGCGATCTGGGCAACCTGGGAGGTGGCTTGACAAGGTTACTTAGGTCAGAGCAGGATAACAAGCAGCAGAAGAAAGAGCTATACACTATTTGAAAATAAATAAACAGCCCTGATCATGCTGCAGCTTCACTTTGCAGTTGAGTAAGCTGTACCTGTCTTCCTTGTTTCTCTTTGTTTATGAGGATTTCTAAGTCCCTGCTGGTTGATGGTGTAATTTGCTTAGCCAGACAAGCAGGTACTGTACACAATAAGTTCTTCTAAATAAAAGGGGTGATTAATCAAGGAAAATCAAACTGTGAGCCCTAGTACCACTCCTTCCTGGCTGGTCCCAGACTCCCAGCTTGTTTATTTAGTGTCACCCATAGTCTGTCATGGCTGACCTAAAACTATCAGGAACAGCCACAATGGCAGCCAAGCATAAACAAAAACCTGAACCGAAGGTGCAGAGGGACTGCCATTCCACAGATAAGATCTATTGCTGTAATAGCCCTTGATTATGAAGACCAAAGGAGAAAAAACACCAAATATACAGACACTTTTCTGTTTATTTATACATGAAGAAGGAGGGGGAAGCAAATCATTTACAAAGAGGAGGGGAAAAAAAGGAATAAGGTTTCATTACATGTCAGTGTTTCTCAGTTTATAAAACAAGATTCTGTGATAAGCAGGGGGTTGCTTCTGGTCTCCTTTGTTTGTGTATTGACATTTTGCAATGCTTTAAAAAAAAAAATCACATGCTGGGGCCAGAGATAGCAGAGAAAAAGAGGAATTGAGCCGGGAAAACCTACTAGACTGTTACCTGGAAAAAGCATGCTTTTTTTCTTCCATATAACTATTCCAACAGAGCACTAGGTTAGGTCAAAAATGAGTAGGCTGTTAGGTGATCTTTCACATTAAATGATGTGTTATGAGATTACGCTTTTCAGGGGAACAGGATCCCTTCTTATTGCAGATGTGCGTGATGCATTTTTAACATGCAAGGAGCAATTTTTGGCGAAATTGTCACTTCTCTGTTGGCCATGATATTCTTTCTGTGGTTATACCTTCTGACGTTTTTCATCAGATTATTTAATTTTATAAAGTTTAGGAGTTACTTGGAAAGAAAGTTAGCTGGAGATGTCTACTGCCAGAATGTGACGAATGTAGGCACCAGCTTCAGAGCCAATCTGGTCACTGCCTCAAGATAGAACGTGAAAAGATTACTTTTGCCCTTAAAGAGGCCCACAAGTTCTGGGAAGCAATGGAAATGGATCTCTTCATTGTTGTTTGTAGGTGCTGTGCTGCTGTTGTTCATGTCGAAGGGGTCAAATTTATCCATTTAATGGAGAAGTGTGCTTGTCCTACTAGCATTCCAATTTATAAGATGTGTAAGAGGAAGGGCAAGATGCTTCCAATAGGATATTGGTATTGAGGAATACTGCTTTATTGTTCTCTATTGGTCAATTACTGGGACAAATGGCTGCAAGAAGCTCTCTCCAATCTATTTTTTGCAGCCCATGCAGCATTACATTTCACTCCAAAGAGTAAAGCTCTAATGCTTTATCACATTCCAGTGCTCGAAAGGGAAATTGATAGTAAGGTACTCAACACTAAATGCATCCATTTTGGTATACTGACATTGCCTGGGACTACAGATAAATTTCAACAAATCACACGCCTACTCTAAGGAATTGGGATCTCATTCTCTGAGGCAGTCTTGGAGATAGAAGGCTCTGACTAGAGAAGGCACAAAATGAGTATTGGCATTATCAAGACACTGTACTGAAAAGGTGCAATGTTCTAGCAGCTACTGGAAAAATCCCAACAGCGTTCACTTGCATCATTGGTTGAAAATTCATTTTCTTTTTTCTCTTGAATATTTTGTGGTACAGAAAATTTTGGGGAAAGGCTGGCGTTAGAACTAACACAAGGGACACAAATAGGTCACACAAATGTCATGGCTACTGGGACTCAGCTGAGTGGTTAGCACTAAACTAGTATCAAAATTTGTATGGATACTTCAGTTCATTTCCACAAGCTGTTCTAAGTTCCTACTTCTACTTTAGCTGTCTTCTGGTGATTACAGATTCAAAGCCCCAAAAATGTTTCCAAAGTAAAATACTATTTTTTTCTGTGCCTACTTGAAGCCCAGTGTGGCATTCTCTTTCTCTGGATTCCTCCCAGTGCTTTAAAATGTGGCTCCCACTTTTCCCTGGAAGTATTATTTATGCATGGTGAATATCTGTGAGGGGATGCTTCTATATGCACAGATTATTCATTGCATTCAGGCCATTTTTTGATAAAATATGATGCACAGAATCAAGTTATCTATTATCATGTGCATTGGTGATGTTCTATCCAAATTTTCCTTGTCTGAAAAAACTTTATTCTCATATGATTTTTAAGTTGAGATATAATTCACAGACCATAAAATTCCCGCTTTAGAAGTGTACAGTTCAGTTGTTTTTAGGATATTCACACAGGTATGTAACCATTATCACTACCGAATTCTAAAACATATTCATTATCTCTCTAAAAAACGCTATACCCATTAACAGTCAATCCCTATTGTCCCCTCTTCCCAGCCCCTGGCAAACACTAGTCTATTTCCTGTCTCTATGGATTTGCCTATTCTGGACAATTCATGTAAATGGAATCATAGTAAATGTGGCCTTTTGTGTCCAGCTTCTTTCGTTTAACATAACATTTTAAAGGTTCATCCATGCTGTAGCATGTATCAGTATTTCATTCTTTTTATGGCTAAATAATATTCCATTGTATGGGTACATCACACTGGATTTATTCATTCGTCAGTTGATGGACATTTGGGTTTTTCCCACTTTTCGGCTACTGTGAATAATACTGCTATGAACATTCATGTACAAGTGTTTGTTTGAATGCCAGTTATCAATTCTCTTGGGTATGTACCTTGAAGTTTAATTACACCTAGAAGTATAATCATGTGGTAACTCTATGTTTAACTTTTTGAGGAGCTTTCACGCTGCATTACACAGCAGCTAAAATATATGTTTTTATAACTTGTTAATTAGTAATTCATATTCAACATGTTTTCTTATAACTTTAAGTGTTATATACTAAATATTCTTTTATTAAAGCTACATTTTCTATATGGGATGATGAAGTTGAATTTAGTTTAGCTTATGTGCCCATGCTTGTATTCATTCAACTTTTTCTTATTCAAAATTTTTACCATGCTGTTGCAGTTAGTATCAAAGCTAAACTCAAAATATAATTACACTGGTAATTGATAAGTAGAATTAGAAATGACAGTCAACATTATAAATTGTGTATTAATAACTATTAGTAAGAAAATTACTTTAAAAACATTTATTCTCATTCTTTTTGCTTTGTTTTGTAATTTTTTATTTAAATAATACTGTTTTTTTGAAATCAAATGTCAGTTTTGAAAAGATTACCTGAGCCCATATTCCTGCTGTGAAATGTTCTATTTCATTTAAACATATTTATAAAAATCAAATACATTTTAATCTACAGTAGAGACAGAGCCTTTAGAACAAAACAGAATACATCATAATTAAAAGCAAGCAATTATTAACTTTGGCAGTAGAATAGTAAATTAATTACTTTGCTAATTGTTTTCTAGGCCATTAAGAAATGATTAGCTAATTGATTGATTATTTAAAGTGTTAGATTGAACTATGTTGTTGGGACCAGTAAAAATTTGTAGGCTAAATATCTCTTACAACATCTGATAATATCCAAAAATTTTTTCAGGAATAAGTACAAATACTGGGAAAAAAAACCTTACTATGTGTGTTTCTAGAAAAGGAGAAATTACTCTTTATTCTGAGTCTTGATTGTATAATCATGTTATTTTTAATAAATTAAGAATGGGCTGAGGGCACATTTAAGAATTGGCTGGATTGTCTGCTAAACTTAGGAAACTGGCTCCCTGCTATCCCTGTATTTTGGTTCCATTTACCCAGCTCCTCAAATTTATAGTTAGTTTTGTTGCTCTGTTCCTGTATGCTGTTTAGTGATGAGAATGAGGTTAAAAACCCACAAGAAATTGAATGGAGAAAAAAATCCTCTGGGAGAGAATACCAAGTCCATTTTAGAAAATCTGAACTTTCAAAAACATCAATAACAGAACATTTCTAAAGGTAAATAATATTAGACAGGAAGCAAACAAGCACCATTATGGTCAGTGGTCAGATTAGAGACATAGTCTCTAGTAAGGACTTTGTGGCACCAGGGAAACCAATACAGACTCTGTTAAGATGTTGCAATTGTTATGCATTTACGAGAGTGTCTCAGATAAAAGATGTACTAGAGTGTTTGAGACCACATACCCTCCTTAGATAGTTACTTGCAGGTCTAAAAGGCTTGATTGTTATATGAAAGGCTGATGCGCTTTTAGAGAGTTGCAGATCAATTTGCCTGTAGCAAATTAGCGGTATAGACCTACATAGCAAGCTTAGGACAGGTGACAAAGCCTTTTTGGGAAGAGCTTGCACATTTTTTATGTACAAATAATTAACAGTTTATTCTAACTTTAAAAAGGTACTCAGGCTGGGAGTGGTGGCTCACGCCTGTAATCCCAGCACTCTGGGAGGCTGAGGCGGGCGGATCACGAGGTCAGGAGATCAAGACCATCCTGGCTAACACAGTGAAACCCTGTCTCTACTAAAAATACAAAAAAATTAGCCGGGCGCGGTGGCGGGCGCCTGTAGTTCCAGCTACTCGGGAGGCTGAGACAGGAGAATGGCGTGAACCCGGGAGGCGGAGATTACAGTGAACCAAGATCGCGCCACTACACTCCCGCCTGGGCAATACAGCGAGACTCCATCTCAAAAAAAAAAAAAAGGGTATTCATTTTTCTGTTTGTCTGCTGTTGAGATTTGTAATAATAATGTCATCATTATTCTTATTTCAGAGATGAACTCTCTAAACAGCTGCATTAGAATATTCCTTGTTTTTGCTGTCATAGTAGCAGGTAACAGAACACAACTCTAATAAGCTTAAGTAGGCAAGGGGAATTCATTATAAGAATAAAGGGATGTCTAATAGGAACCCAGTAATATGAAGAAACTTGGGCTTAGAAAGGATTTGAAACCAGGAAAGCTACTTTTTTCTCTCTCTCTGAAAACTGATTTTTTTCCCCTGCATGACAAAGGGAAATTTCCTTTCCATATTTCTAAGCCTACATCTCACAGATCCAGACACCCCAAAAAGGACTACCTTTCAGTTCAAAATCCAATTTCCAAGAGAAGGGATTTTGTTTGTTTGAGATTGAGGAAGGTGCACACTCCTGGTCTAATTATCAACTATGGCCAAGAGTATGGGGTTATAAATACAGTGGCTGCTGCAATGTCCACCACCATAGATGGGGTGTCATTAGATGTAGGGCACCTGGCAATGTAACGTAGTATGTTGTATGTGAGGTGGACAGAAGTTGATATTAGCTAGAACTAATTTCATGTAAATCACATAGAAGGAGAATGTGAGCAGAAAACTATTTTTCCTACTCCCAAACAACAGTAGCAATATTGTACTACTGTCCCAGGAAACACTGTATATGGTTATTATAAAAAGAAAACAAATATTGACTTATGTGTATTTTTTTTTTCTTCAAAGAACAAATCAAAGGTTGCATTCTTAAGGGAGAGCATGGTAGATATTGTTTACGAATCTTTTGAATACATAGTTCAACCAGGGGAAAATCAATTGCTTTTTAGCTATCTTTATTAAAGCCTTGTGAGGTCTTCAACAAAGAGCTGTCAGTTCAAGAAATTTCAGAGCCAAGCAACTATTTATTCAAGGGCAGTGTATAAAAGTGCAATTGAACACAGCAATTGGGAGGTTGTCGGAGTGACTGCTAAAATACTTACATGTACAATGTTGTCTTTTTCTCACATCCTTGAGGAATAAAACTCATATGGACTTTGTTCTTAACATAGACGTTTTAGAAGTATTCAGTGTTCTATAAATACCTAAATGAAAAGCTTTAATCTGTTTAATAGATAAGTTCTGCTTTAGGATTTTTATATTTATGAAAAACAGAAGAGAAGTTCTCGTTTTTTCTCTCTTAGTCCATTTTGTCCTTTTTGTTATATGTATGTGTTTAGCAGTATGGTAAGAGGTGATCGTTGCTAATCAGATAGTATTTTTTACTATAGTAGGGAGAGGTTTCAAAGGAGGGAGAAAGCGATCACTTTAATTTAGTGAGCAGAAAATCAGGAAATGTCTTAATGAAGGAGCGTACATTTAAATTGTAAGGAGAAGAAGTTACGGAGTATAAAAATATCATGATCAAAGTCACTAAGCCAGGAAGGAATGGTGGAAAAAAGTTAGCTAATAGTATATGTCAGAAATATTGCTAAGAGATATACAAATATTTTAAATTGGTGGTATAGTGAGTATTTAGACTGAAATATGGACTATAGAAAATAGAGTACAGGCTGTTGTAGCTTTGGATAGAGAGGTGGGATCACAGAATTGGCATTGAAACCATGCAAAGTGGGCTTAATAATCAATGGGAAAAATCATAATTGTTCGGTGACTTTAAACTTCTTTCTTTCTTTCTTTCTTTCTTTTTTGAGACGGAGTCTCGCTCTGTCGCCCAGGCTGGAGTGCAGTGGCGCGATCTCGGCTCACTGCAAGCTCCGCCTCCCGGGTTCACGCCATTCTCCTGCCTCAGCCTCCTGAGTAGCTGGAACTACAGGCGCCCGCCACCACGCCCGGCTAATTTTTTGTATTTTTAGTAGAGATGGGGTTTCACCGTGTTAGCCAGGATGGTCTCCATCTCCTGACCTCTGATCCGCCCGTCTCGGCCTCCCAGAGTGCTGGGATTACAGGCGTGAGCCACCGCGCCCGGCCCGGTGACTTTAAATTCTTTTGTCAGAAGGATAACAACTGTCTTACTGTCAATTATAAATATATAAGTAAATGAAAAAAATAATTTAGTATACATGAGAAACATTAAGAATTAAAGTACAGCTGACCCTTGAACAACATAGGTTTGATCTGCGTGAGTCCACTTACATGTGGATTTTTTCCTACCTCTGCCAGGCTTGAGACAGCAAAACCAGTCCTTCCTCTTCCTTCTCCTCCTCAGCATATATATTATATATCTTTCTTACAATTTTCTTCATAACATTTTTTCTCTAGCTTACTTTATTGTAAGAATATAGTATATAATTATATATAACATACAAAATATGTGTTCATTGACTGTTTATATTATCAATTAGGCTTCTAGTCAGCAGTAGGCTATTAGCAATTAAGTTTTGGGGGAGTCAAAAGTTATATGGGAATTTTAGGGGGTTACCACTTTTAATCCACAAATGTTCAAGGGTCAACTGCACAACAATTTTTTTTTTTTTTTGGTAAAAACTTACAAGAGTAGTTCTAACAGTGTTTGTTGTATAATTTACATGGGGAAGTGAGCATTTTTTCTATGCATTGGCATATTGTCATACTGCTTTCTAAGTTTTAATCAGCTTCCGACATTTTATCCTTTGAGCTTTCAATGTCATAAAATATCTCTGAGAGTTTCTTTAATGTGAAGTTGTTTGCTGGCATCACTGCCTCTGGAATATCGTCATCCTTTTTCATCAAAACTGCTTCTTCATCTATGCTGATAACTTCATCTTCACTAAGTTCTTCTGGTGGTTTATCCTGAGTCTCTCAAAAGGGAGCCATATTGTTTGTGTCACCTGCAACCCCCAAATTCAGATCTTGACATCCTGGCCCCAAGTGTGATGGTATTAAGAGGTGGGGCCTCTGGAAAGTAATTAGGTCCTGAGGGTGTAGTCCTCATGAATGGGATTAGTTCCCGTATGAAAGGCACCCTAGAGAGCTCCCTCACCCTCTTTCTGCCAATGAGGACATGAGAAGTCAGCCATCTGCAGCCTGGAAGAGGACTCTCATCAGAACCTGACCATGCTTGCACCCTGATCTAAGACTTTCAGCCTCCAGAACTGTGAGAAATAAATTTCTGTTGTTTCGAAGCCATCCAGTCTATGGTATTCTGTTATAGTAGCCCCATCTGATTAAGACACTGTGCTAACAATCTCATGGTCAACTATTTCTTTCATAACTCCATTTACATTAGATCAGAATTTCACTTTGATGTTATCACTTTTCATTTCCTTATTTTCATCTTTATTGGCCAATTCTTTCTTTCAGTGTTCCAGTTTTATAAAACATCATATAGATTTATCACTGGGAGACTGTAAGGCAACCCACCTATATTCACTGTCTGGGCAGGAACTGAATAACAGAAGTACAGTGACCAGTCACTGGCAGACTTTCAGAAGTGATGCAATTGGTCACTGATTACGATGCATATCTGTTATTTACATAGTGATTTGTGGACTAACGCACTAGTTGTGAAGCTTGTTCTTTACACAGTTATTCACAGTTAATACACTGTGATAACTAAAATTGAGCCATTTTGGGGAGGACTGGTGTAATCTGACTTAACTGTGGTAACTGAAGTTTGTGCCAGTATCATGCACAGTAAGGACTCCCCATATAAAACAGGGATACCTTTTCTGGAGAAGACGAAATTAAAGAGAGAAAAGGGCCATTTTTTAGTTCTCCTTTTTTAATTACTTGAAGTGAAATTCATATAACATTAAATTAACTATTTTAAAGTATACCAATTCAGTGGCACTGACTATATCCACGATGTTGTGAAACCACCACCTGTCTCTACTTTCAGAACTTTTTCATAACCCCAGAAAAGTACCCCATACCCATGAAGTAATCATTCCTCATTTCCCCTGCCCCTGCCCCATGGTAACCATCAATTTGTTTTTTGTCTGTATGGATTTGCCTATTCTGAACACAGCGTATAAAATGAATCATACAATATGTGACCTTTGTGTCTGGTTTCTTTCACTGAGCATAATGGATTCAAGGTTCCCCCAAGTTGTAGTATGTGTATTTCATTTATTTTAAATGACTGAATAATATACTATTGTATAGATATACCTTAATTTGTTCTTTCATTCATCTATGGGCATTTGGGTTTTTTCCACCTTTTGGCTGTTCCTACCTTTTGTATAATGCTGACATAAACATTGCGAACAAATTTCTATGTGGACATATATGTTTTCATTTCTCTTGGAGTGGAATTGCTAGGTCGTACGGTAATTCTATGTTTAGATTTTTAAGGATCTGCCATGTATATATCTTGTGATACACACATATATAATTGTTTTTTAGGTGGAATGTCTAGGTCTTAGGATTTGTATATGTCTAGCTTTAGTAGATCCTGCTAGTTTTCTGAAGCAATTGTACCAATTTACATCCCAGTAAAAGCATAGGAAAGCTCCAGTTGCTCCATATCCTTGTCAATTCTTGGCATTGTCAGGGTTTCTAATTTCAGCAATTTTGGGTGGGTATGTCGTGGTATATTGTGATTCGACTTTGCCTCTCCCTGATTACTAATGAGGATGAACACCTTTTCATATGGTCATTTTGTATTTTGGATATCCTCTTGTGAAGAGCCTATTCAAATCTCTTTCTATTTTTACTACTGAGTTATCTTGGTTTTAAAAAATTGATTTATAGGAATTCTTTATATATTTTGGATATGAGTCATTTATTGGGTATGCATATTATGAATTATTTACTCCCACTCTGTGGCTTGCCTTTTCTCTCCTTAAATGGTGTCTTTAATGAAAAGAAGTTTCTAATTGTAATGTCTTCCAAGTCATCAATCATTTCCTTTATGATAGTGCTCTTTGTGTCCTGTTTAAGAAATGTTTATCCTCCTCCAATCTCATGATGTTATTTCCTGTGCTATCTTCTAGAGGCTTAATTGGTTTTTCTTTTAGATTTAGAGCTACAATCCACCTTCAATTGATTTTAGTGTATAATATGAGATCAAGATTAGCTTTTTTTTTTTTCTGAATGGATTTCCATTAGACTCTGAGACCACTTTTTTTTCTCACCACACTTCAGTGCCACCTTTGTCATAAAGCAGATGTCTATATATGCATGGATCTGTTTCTGGTTGCTTTTGTCCATTGGTGTTTTTGGTTATTGTGCCAATAACACTGTCTTAATGCGATAGCTTTATGATAAATTTACATATCTCATAGTATAAATCCTTCAGCTTAGTTCTTTAAGACTTTCTTGGATATTTTTGACCCCTTGCATGTTCATACACATTTTTAGAATTAGTTTGTTATTTTGTTAACACACATACACCATTCTCCTCTGCAAAACACCACCATCACCACCACCACCAAGAATACCTCATCTGATGTGATTCTGATTGACCCTATAAATCAATTTGAGAAGAATTAAGATCTTTAGAGAGCTGGGCACAGTGGATCACACCTGAAAACCCAGCACTTTGGAAGGCTGAGGAAGTAGGATTGCTTGAGACCAGCTTGGGCAATGTAAGGAGGCACCATCTCTACAAAAGTAAAATAAAATAATTAGCCAGGCATGGTGGTGTGCATCTGTGGGCCCAGCTACTCAGGAGGCGGAGGTGGAAAGATTGCTTGAGTCAGGGAGTTTGAGGCTGCAATGAGTCATGATTGTGCTACCGCATTCCAGCCTGGGTGACAAAAAAAGGCCCTGTCTCAACAACAACAACAACGAAAAAAAAGTAAGAAAAAGAAAGAAAAAAGATCTTTAGAGCATTGAGTCTTCCAATTCACAACCATTATATATTCCTCCATTGTTGAGGTCTCAGTATTATTTTATAATTTTCTGTGTAGACAGCTCACACAACATTTTGTTACATTTATTCCTTGGTATTAAATGTTTCTGATGATATTTTACATGGTTTTAAACATTTTTATTTTTAATTGTTTTTGCTGATATATAATTAATTTTGTACATTGCCCTTGTATCTTGTGACTTGGCTAAGATTTTAATTCTAGGAGTGTATGTAGATTATTTAACCAAAGTCATTTCATCAACAAATAAAGAGCTTTATTTCTTTCAATTTTTATAAACTTTTTGGTTGTTTGTTCTTTCCTGTTTTCACTGTCTTAGACCTCCAATATAGTATTGACTAGAAGTGAGAGTTGCAGACCTAATTGCCTTGTGCCGCATTTCACGGGAAATGGAGTGGGGAAGTCTAAACAAGGGAGGTGGGGACCGAGTGCTCTCAGTGTTCCCCTTTCATGCACTTTTTTTTTCTTCTTTTTCTTTTTTCTCTTTTTCTCTCTCTCTTTTTTTTTTTTTTTTTTTTTTGCGGCGGAGTCTCGCTCTGTTGCCCAGGCTGGAGTGCAGTGGCGCGATTTCGGCTCACTGCAAGCTCTGCCTCCCGGGTTCACACCATTATCCTGCCTCAGCCTCCCGAGTAGCTGGGACTACAGGCGCCTGCCACCACGCCCGGCTAATTTTTTGTATTTTTAATAGAGACGGGGTTTCACCATGTTAGCCAGGATGATCTCCCTCGATCTCCTGACCTCGTGATCCACCAGCCTCGGCCTGCCAAAGTGCTGGTATTACAGGCGTGAGCCACCGCGCCTGGCCCCTTTCATGCACTTCTAAGGCACACAGTCACACAGAATGCTAGTGTATTAGTCAATTTTCATGGTGCTGATAAAGACATGCCTGAGACTGGGCAATTTACAAAAGAAAGAGGTTTAATGGAATGGATTTACAGTACCGTGTGGCTGGAAAGGCCTCGCAATCATGGCAGAAGGCAAAAGACACTTCTCACATGGTGGTAGACAAGAGTGAGAGCCAAGTGAAAGAGGTTTCCCCTTATAAAACCATCTGATCTTGTGAGACTTATTCACTACCACTAGAAAAGCATGAAGGAAACCACCCCCATGATACAATTATCTCCCACTGGGTCCCTCCCACAACATGAAGCAATTATGGGAGCTACAATTCAAGATGAGATTTGGGTGGGAACACAGCCAAACCATATCAGCTAGTCAGAGTGGGGTGATGATATTTAAAGCAGTAGGTTGTCTTCTCATGTAGCATGGAGCTGTTATTTAAAAAACAAAAGAATACTTTCCAATTAGGGAGGAGAAAGTGATGGCTCAAGCAGTCAGTCCATAGGTCAGCGGAAGGGAGGGAGAGAAGAAAAGCTGGGCCCAATTGCTGTTACCACAAGGTCCTCCTATACAAACATGAGGGATCACTAGCTTTACATGGGTGTGAGCTCTATTCTTTTGAGAGTAGCATCTTGTGAGAACTATCTGGTTGAGTGATGTGTATGAAATATGTAATATTTCCACTGTCTGTAGGTTGGAAGCTCTTTCCTAGCTTCATAATTCTTGCATACTTTACTGGCTATCACCAGCTTCCCTTCCAACAGGGATACTCCTGTATCCCATCAGTTCCCAAGCATGGAGGAAACTCCCAGGATGCCTTACCACACTTGGCTGCTTCGCCCTTGCTTACCTTGAAGATTCCATAAAATTGCTGACTTTGTGGGCTACAATCAGAGGCTAGACCAGAGTGCCCAGAGGGGAAAGACAGGTAGAAAAGGGCCATTTTGTAAAGGGTCTTAACTGCTAGCCTGAGACCACTGGACTGAATTGAGTATACAGCGGAGAACCACTGAAGGCTTTTGATCAGATGAATGAAATGATCAAAGTTATATTTTAGAAAAATCAATCCCACAGTAGTATAAAAGCTGCTTTGGAAGAGGAGAGATCTATTAGAAAACTATCTTGAGAATCCAGCTGAGAATTAATGATCCATGATTGTGAGCATGGGTAGGAAAAGAGGGGCAGGTAGAAGAAACATGGTCCCAAACCCTAGCCCAATCCCCTTCCCATGGTGGTTGCTCATTAATTTTTGAGGTGTCAGATAGATCCAGGACAATATCTCAATTTATAACTCTGTTTCCAATAGTAAAAGAGTGCTTATTAGATGATCTCATCTCTATTCTCCATCCTACTAGGAAGCCATATGCAGCTGGTGCATTCTTGGCAATTTTACAGGACAGAGTCTCTGCATTGCATACATCTGTATCCAATACAGACTGCAGATGCTTTTTTATTTTCATTTCCTTGTATAGGGTTCTTGACACTTTCTCCCCAGCTCTTCCTACCCAAGATCCTCCCATTCAATTTTTAGAGTTTGTCTGAAGGAAGTGTCAAGACTAGAGGGAGAAATCCTAGAAGAGATAATGTGGGAACACCAAATTATAAAACTAAAAGATCGTTGATGGTGGCTAAGTTTTCTGTTACAGGATGCACTCCATTGCACTTTAGGAAAAAGTGTCATGCTGAGCTACTCTTGTAGAAACTCAGTGCTTACCTGCTGTCAGTCCTCTCAGCCAAATTCTAATGGTTTCATAAAGAATAAAACAGATGGAACTGAAAGCACCCAGGCGTTCTAATATTGAGACTCCCTCTGAAATCTTGCTGCCAAAGGGAAATGCTAAAGAAGTGGGTCACAAGTCAAAGTAAGGTGAATCTTTGGCCTGGCAAGCTACTCAGTGCAAGAAGAGTGAAGGGAAACTGTATAATGATAACAGGCCTATGTGGATCAGATGCCAAGCATCTGGAAGACTCAGAGGGTCTACAGTGTATGAAGTGATATTATCTCATTGGGAAGTGTCAGTAATGAAAATGTAAACGTTGCTACTGCAGCAACCCTGGAGATTACAGAACCAGCAGTTGTGAGCTCTTATATGAGCCAGGCCTCCACACCTCAGACTGTTAGGGGGCAAAGAGATCAGTTAAATTGGAGGAGGGTAAGGAGAAAAAATGTGATATGTGTTAAGTGAAAAAATTTTAGAGCACTTTGTAGTATCATGGCATTGGGAAGGCATACAGATGTTCAATGAACATTGCTGATTGTTGGAATGACAAGATAAACTGTCAAGCTTTGCCTTAGTACTACTCCACATAAAGGCCTTGCTGTTACTGTGGGTTGACAAGAATTAGAATGAATTCTTGCTTGCAATACTTCTGTACATTTAGAGGTATTTTAAAAGTCTAGGTAAGTAACTAGTTGTTTTCTTCTTTAATTTCCTTGACTTTGTAAATTATTTCAGTTACTCAATCCTATTTCAACATGGCTTGAGATCTTTCTGTCCAGTCACCATCTCAAATTTCCTGGGTTCTGTGGTGACAGGATATAGATAAGGAAACATCTTTAAGATAAACTATTAGCATTTAGACTTAACACTTTAGTCACAAGGCTTTCCTGATGAGGTTTCCACTGGACCTCATTTTGGATTATAATAACTAACTTAATCCACATAAATGACATCTGTGGCAAAGATTGCTGGTGTGTTATTTTGCCTATGAAAAAAGTAAGAATTTATGAATTTTAGAACTTTCTTGAGCTCATTTGGCCACTGAGTGATTTAGCCCTGATCATATGACTCCAAATCCTTGCTTTTTCAATTTTGCTATCACATTATGAGAATTCACTATTTACCTTTTTTCTTTCATTCTTGATTTTATTGCTTTGGAACATTTTGAGTTTATTTTGTCACCAACAGCAGGGGTTTTTGTATTTTTTTCTGTTGATGTCATTGTATGCCTCTTCTGAATAAGAGTAATGCTTTATACTTCTTTTTTTTTAACTTCTATTTTAAGTTCAGCATACATTTGCAGGTTTGTTATATAGGTAAACTTGTGTCATGGGGGTTTGTTGTACAGATTATTTTGCTATCCAGGTATTAAGCCTAGCAGCCATTAGTTATTTTTCTTGATCCTCTCCACTCGCCCTCTGCCCTCCAGTAGGTCCCAGTGTCTGTTGTTCCCCTCTATGTGTCCATGTGTTCTCATAATTTAGCTCCAACTTGTAAGTGAGAACATGTGGTATTTAGTTTTCTGTTCCTGCATTAGTTTGACAAGGATAATAGCCTGCAGCTCCATCCATGTTCCTGCAAAGAACATGATCTCATTCTTTTTTATGGCTGCCTAGTATTCCGTGGTGTATATGTTCCATATTTTCTGCAAGAACATGATCTCATTCTTTTTTATGGCTGCGTAGTATTCCACGGTGTATATGTTCCACATTTTCTATAAGAACATGATCTCATTCTTTTTATGGCTGCATGGTATTTAATGGTGTATATGTTCCACCTTTCCTGTAAGTCTGACTTATAAAAAACGGTATGTTGTCTCTAAGAGTTTAGCCAAACTTTTTAGGAGGCTGTGCTAGCTCTTCTATTTCCTCCATTCCTTCACTACTTCTTTCTTTTTAGTCAATCAGTACTCATTTATTCGATGACTGTCACATTCTTTGTTTATTTTTTAATCACAAATCAATTGACTTCTGGTGCATGAGACTGTTATCTTGAAACTGGCCTAAGGATACAAAGGATTGTTTTCATAGGCATTGTAAGTTATACACACATCTAATTCAGATATATATGTAGCCTTGCCAACCAGTTCATACTTGTGGCCATGGTCCTTCAATACAGTGCAGGAGAGAAAGGGAACAAACATAAGGGGAGGAAAACCACATGAACTTGTTATTGATGGATTTTTCTAAAAAAAAAAAAGAGCCTGCTAGAATCATATTTTATCTATGTCAGCATTTTCTCTTGAGTCCAGAAGCCAATCTTTTGGGTAGCTTGATGGCTTTTGGCTCCTTTGTGACTGTGAACTCCATGGTTTTCTGACTCTTGATGTGCAGAGCAGTGAAATCAAGAGTACGGACTCTCTTACTTACTTTGACTAGCTGTGGGGCCATCCTTTCCCTCAGTGTCTCCTTTGTAAAATAGGAATAGTACTAACACAGCTCACAGGACTGTTTCATAGCCTACTAAAAAAAGAGTGCCAAATATTAGCAAGACTGGATGGCACACATCAATGAAATTATGAGAGGCAGAGGAATAGCACTTTATATGCTTACCATACCTGTGTACTTCAGGCCACAGCTTCTGATGTGTATTTCCTACTGGATTTTACTCTGCCATTATATTTACACATGGTATGAATTTATATGCTTACGTTTTTCATGTGTAGTTTGGGTAAAACTAGAAAAAAGATTTATTGAATATATTATTATCATTTTTTTTTGGCTGACACTTTTCATCACTACTCTCCACATTTAGGGGTTTACAATTAGCTTATAAAAAATTTGATCCAGGCTGAAACTCAGCAGATGAGGTCTCAGTCAGTTTTGAAGTATGAGTTTAGTATACATTTTCAAAAGCAAGAGAGAGCTGTATTTAATATAAATGATATCTAAATTACATTAAAATCTAGTTCAACATAACGTGCTTTAACATTAACAAGTTATGGCAAGATCTCTTCAAATATATTCAAATGGGTAGGTGGCAGATAGCATTTCTTCTATTAGGAGGGTCTGGTGGACTTTACAACCATGTGGAGTTATATTCAGTTATTCAGGTATATCTCCATTCTTCAGCTTTATCTATGCCTAAATGGCTTCATTATAAATAAACACATATATTTACCTGAGGTGCAGAACAGGAACCACTTCATTTTATTGTGTTTTAAGAGAGAATACATCATTAGAAATCATGTCTCCTTTCTTGAAGGGGTTGAAGGACACTAGGAATCCTAGAACACTCTATATACTATTTTTGCTATGTGAAAAATGAGTCAGGTTAATATTGGTAGAGCCTATTTTTTATTTTCTTTGGTTTAGGGTGAAAATCACACCTTTCTCCAGGTTAATGAGACACTTTTCTGAGAATCTCCTGATGCTTGAAGGCATTGCTATCAAGGGAGTCACTCTTTGCCATTTTACAGGAGAGAGAAGAAATAAGATCTAAAGATTTAAGAAGTCACTTGACCAAAAGGAATTGTTTAAATGCCAGTGTTCATAATCAGGTATGAGAACATATGTCCCTCTGTGTATATGTTTACTTGTTTAATGTCATCTTTTCACAAGCCATCTTCATTCATTCTAAAAATGACTGAGACAGCAGTAGGAATAAAAACCTTTCCTCTCTCTCCAGGGAAAGGTGGTCGCAGATTGGGGATTTGGCTCACTACTGCAGAGAGGGCAAATACGTTACATGTTGCTGAATGCTGGGGTCCTTGCTGACAGTCTCTTACAGATGGGATATTAAGTTCCATGGGGAGAAAATAAGTAGGAGGAAGGCTTTTCTGGATGAAAGACAAAGGGTAGAGAAGGTGGAAATAAAGAGAGGAAACTTGAGAAGGAACAGGGAGAGTGGGGGCAGGAGGTTTGGACATGAGTCCTCCATTCCTGAACATTATTCACCAGGCAGCCTATGGTCAAAAGGCACTGTGGCTAGTAACCTGGGAGAAGAACTGATATGAGGCTAAACACTCAAGTACTCAGGAGCTGTGTAGACCAGAGAACCAGAATCTGCCCCAAAATGGAGGCCAGAGAGGATTTGTCCTACTAGCATTACTGCACAGTCATTACAAAGAGGGAATGAGTACCATTTAGGGGCTGAATCTATGCTTGCCATATCTTTGGACCCTTGAGGAATACACTTGTTTGTGTCCCAGGAGACTTAGAATCCCTAATGGGCCCAGTGGGCCCAGTAGTGTGGAAGAAGAGAAGCTCCTGTCCCTGTGCTTTACACCTGGACTCAGGTACTTTAAACCATCTGGAGTGAGCAGGAAGTGGACATCCTTGGTCACATTTCTTAATTAAAAAATATAGAAATGTTGTAAATGAAATTTCTAGTTTATTTTGTTGATTTTTACATTAATGTGTGCTTTTCCTTTGTCCGTGTTTCATTTGGCTATGTATTAAAGTTACTATTGAAATTCAGTTATGTTCACAACAATTACATTAATGTTGGCGGTCTCTCCTTTTTTTACAACATTATATTATAATTGGAAACATTAATCATTCAATTCTCATAATCATCTATGTCAAGTATAACATTGACTATGGTATTCTATTTTACCTGAGAAATTATCAACAAATGGTTATTTTATTTTTTATGCAAGAATGTTAAGAACGATTTACATCCAAAGTAATGTCTTTGTTGTCATTTAGTTGCATTCTTAATCTTTGCTAGGTATTCTAAATCTTTGCTTACTAGACATTAACAAATTTAGAATTAGAGCTGATAGATTCTTGTTTCGTAAACAATATTAGCAGAAGAATGAAGATGAATATAATGGCTACCTTTGTCATAAAGATAAAATACCACTGAAAAGTGATTTTAATTTTCAAATAATTTGATATCTAGTAGAGGATCAATCTTCAAGTCAACTGTGGCATCATTTCATTTCATCTTAGAGCCAAGAGACTCCCAAGGTGCTTTCCATTCTCCTGCTTTGTTCTTCTAACCACAGTTTTTCCACAATCACTGTCATTCTCCCACTCCCACACAGGCTTCCTCCTCCAGCTCCAGTACCATGGTTCATACCCTCAGGTCCTCCTCAGCAACAGTGACTAACACACAGCTGCTAGTGACATCAGCTGAGCTCTACTCCTCCTCTCTGTCCCACATACCCCTGGTGCACAGGAACTGTGAAGTAGAAATGGAAGAGTAAAAAGCTGCAGCATAATCTTCTTTTAATTAAATGCAGTGAAAGCCTTATCAATCCATGAGTTCTTTCTTACATTTAGGGCTGGAAATTCCTAACAAAATTGTTTTTGGCTTCTTTAGAAAACCAGAATAAGAAAAGGAAGAATTAAATGTTCATCCTCATTCATGGGCTGTTATTTGCATCTCATAGTGGTGCCTTCTAATCTAGGCAGGATATCTGCTAAAGTGGTATTTGTTTCTGTTCACAGGTCAACCTTTATTTAAATTGCCCCTCAGTGGAGAAATACTAGACCTGAAACAGACCTAAATGTGTTACCAGAAACTTAGGGTCTGGCTCAGGGTAATTAAATGCATCCAATTTGAATTTGTTGTCCTACCTCCAGGTCTACTAACTCCTCCCTCCCCACCATCTCGGGCAAAAAAAAAATAAATAAAAAAAAAATCTAGAAATAATTCTTAATTTCTCACTTTTCTTCCTTTTCACATTTAATTCATCAGCAAATTGAAATTATATTACAAGTCCATCAGTTTCTCCTCTATTGCCAATACTGCCACCCTACTCCAAGCCAAAACCGTTTCTTACTTGGATTTCTGAATTGGTCTTCTAATCTGTCTTGCTTCTGCTCTTGCTATTCTTCAATCCACTCTTCAAACAGCAATAACCAGCATGATCTTCTGATCCTGCTCAGAATTTTCCAGAAGTTTTCTATTAAATTTTGAATAAAGCTCCCAGCTTTTTACAGTGGTCAAAAAATCCATAGACGATTTGACCTCTGTGTACTACTCCAATCCTTTCAGCTTAATTGAATGTCTGCTATGTGCTAGGCACTGTTCTAAGTGATGGAGACACAGTGACTAAGACAGTGTGGATTCCTCCTCAAAAAGCTTATGTCCAGGAGATGCAGATATGCCATACACAGAGAGTTAAAAGGAGTGTATATGATGTGCTATAGTGAGTAGATTTCACTTGGGGATTAAGCCATGAGGGAAGGACTCATTTAGAAGGTGGCATTTAAGTGAAAATCCAAAAGACAAGATGGAACCCATCCTGCAGATACCAGAAAGAAGTACAGATAAACTATTAGAGGGCTTTATATAGGGTAGTTTTGTGAACTGTTTCACATTGTCAAAAGATGACTCTGGCTGCTGTGAGGAGAATTGAAGAAGCCCATTTGGAAGCGGGCAGTCCAGTTAGGGAGCTAGAGCTGTAGTCCGGGCAAAACATTGTAATAAGTTGGACTAGGATGGTGAATAGAAACGAGTGGACAGATTCAGGATAACATGTCCGAACTAAAACCTGTTATTGACTGAATGTTGGTGTGAAGGCCAAGAGAAATTGATGAAGGTAATAGACTGTGAAGGAAAAATGGGGAGTGGGTGTGAAAACAAAGAGCCTGCATTTTGCACCCATTAACTTACCATGTACGTTTCTGGTAAATGCTACACTTTGGTTTCTCCAGCCTCAAGGCATTTGCACATGGCGTTTCCTTTAGACTAGAATACTCGTCCTATTGATACAACTCCGATGACTGGAGGAACACCAGGGTCCTTGGTCTCGCGCTGATGGGATTAATGACACGGACACACATGAAGTGGTTTTAAGGAGTGAAAAGTTTAATGGGCAAGAAAGAAGGAAGAAAGAAAAAAGAAAACAGCTCCTCTGTACAGAGGCAGGGGGGAGGAGGGCTTGGAACAGAGAGGAATGCCATGTGTGCACAGGGCCCAGGGGATTGGTTTGACCAGGTGTGTCATTCACGTAGCCCGTGAAAAACCTGGCCCTCCTACCTTACCCCCTTAATATGCAAATGCAGGTTGCCATGATGTTCTGAGCACATGGTGTTATCTGGAAGTGGCCATGACACTTGGCACACCTGGTGACAAGGAGAAGGCGGGAATGGCCATATTGGGTAGACTCTGTTTCTAATTGCCAGCATTTGCATATCAAAGCTTGCCAGCCTGGCTCTTTAAGCCGCCTTTCTGTTGGTTTCCGCCAAGAACTTTTACCCTATCTAGCTGCCTAAAAATATTTCTTAATAACTCTGGTATTACTGTGTCCTAGGATGGCAATTCCTTAAGGTCCTAGTTTAAGTGTCACCTATTCAGAAACATCTTCAGACCACTTGCCCAAATTACATTATTCTCTATTCAGTTTGATTTTTTAATTATTTTATTTGTAGACTTTAAAAATTGTTTGGTTTTCCCCACTACTGTAAAAGCTCATTGAGGGCAAAGATACCTTCATTTTGCCAAGCACTGAATTCACACCATCTAGCAGAGAGTGGTACTTAAGTATCAATAAACACTTTTTGAATGATTGCATTTGTAGATCACTGTGCCAGTTTATTAGTTCCATACGCGTACCCATACATTGTTTAATTTCAATTGAATAGGCTTGTAACAAATCAAATTTTATTTGTCCCCCTTGGTTTATATACTGATAGAAAGTTTTAATGAATAGATTATTGGTTTCTTCAGTAAATAGCCCTTCAGCCCACCTCTGATTGCTCAGGGCCTGGCTCAGAGTGACCATTGAGAAGGCACTTTTCTTTCCAAGCCTCAGTTTCATAGTCTGTAAGACTGATATAAATATGATCTCTGCTTTAAAGAGTTATTGTGAAATTAAATGCGTTAATCCATATAAAATACATAGCACAGTTCCTAGTATATTGTAAGCATTTAATCAACGTGACCATCATGATTGTTATTATTATTGATATTAATTGCTGAAAGAACAGAATGTTTTTGACACCAAAGGACCTTACAGATGAGTGAACATACTGCTATTCATTCTTATTGTCCACAAATAAAAATTGCTAAGTTATTGTTCAAATTTTTATTCCAAACAATATTTTACAATTGTATGTTCTTCTGAGGTAATTCTCAGAACTTGCATTTCAGTGATTTAACATCATGATTCTTTCTATGATTTGAATGATTTAATTAAAGGCCATTCTTCTTAAGCTTAGCGCTTAAAAAAGTCTTAGTAGAATTAGGCTTTTAGAAATTCTAAAAATATGAAAGAGAAAAACATTTGACTCCCCAGATATGTGCAAGCAACAGCAAACCATCAGATCAACTGAATAGATTAAAAGTACCATTTAACATTAGCTAAATATCCTTTTATTTTCGATATAAAAAACAGTAGAATTCCAGTGGTAACTAATGTAAATAATTTATTTTTCCTCATTTAATGGCTATAGTTCTAATGATATCGTCTCATCATGAGGTAAAATGTAAAAATGCTTAAGGACTCAGTACTCTAAAATAGATTTTTAATATTTAAAAGGTTTGTGCGATTTTAAATAAGGCAGTGCCACCCAATATCATAGCATGCTTCATGAGAAAAAGATGCTAAATTTCCTTGACCTAGTTTCATCTTCATGTTTAGGAAACAGTGTCTAAGAAGTAAACAAAGTAGTTGTGCCTCATGTAGGAGATGATTATTGTTTGAATTTATGATTCATGCCTTGAGCAAAATTTTGTTTGTGGCCTCATTTGCAACCATAATTTACAACTTTACCAGGGATATGCTGTGTATTTGGAAGGTAATATATCAGACTTGCTTTGTACTGGAACAGTTTTCTAGCTCTGGGTATAGTATTTTCTGTGTTTCTGTTAGCTATAAAATTTCTAGGCATAACATTTATTGTAGCAAATATGGAAATTAAAAAAAATTGCATTCCCCTTAGGAATGTCTTATTGTATTTATATTCTGATTATGGTTAAATCCAACTATTGTTTAAAGGAGTTGTTAATCCTGCAAATATCTGGTTGCAAAAGTAGGAAGATTTAACTTTTTCAAATTTTTAAAAAAGTAAAGATTGCATCATTTTTGCATTGTGTGTAACTCTCATCTAAGAAACTAATAAGTAACATGTGACTCCAATATAATGTTTGTGTGTGCCCTTAAAATTCAGAATTTTTTTTTCTGTTGCAAATAATAAGTAGACTATAATACTGTAAAATGAGTTTTGCCTGTTATCTTTCATCTATAAGTTAGTGAAGAATTTCCCACAGTATTTATTGGAAGTTCCATTGTCCATTCTAATTTCAATTGTCTTAATACATATGGAAATACCGGGGATTTTATAATCAATCAATCAGTCTACTCCAAGTTGTAGAGATCCTCAACTAAATGTAATGTATTTTCTAGCACTGACATTTATTTATTTGCATCTTTGTACTGCAATTTTTATTAGGATGCTCTTTTATTAAGGGTAATACTTATTCCTCCAACTAAACATTTAAAAATTAACTCTAAGCTTCCACTAGTTTGAAAAATTTCTGGTAGCTTGATTTGAAAATGTAATTTTAATACATATGATTAACAAATATGATCCCATGCTATAATTTTAAAATACTGAAATTATTATTCTGTATCCGATTATATAAGTTTAAAAACAGAGTTAAAAATAGAAAATATTGCCGTTTTTCTTGTTTTCTGATATAATTAATAAGAAAAAAAGCTAAAAGCCCAAGGGAAGTTTAAAAGTGTAGAAAAAACTTGACAATGAACATTTGCCTAATATGCTTGGTGCTACATGTACTTACAGCGTAAAAAATAGATCAACCTAGAATCAGACTCTTCCAGAAATTCTTTCCATCATCCAGTTCTTAGCAGAGTTTCTTCTGACATAAAGGTAAGTAGACTGAATAGTCTAGTGAGAAAGAAAGCGATCACTTTTTCTGGCCGTTACAGTAGAGAAGAGAGAAGTAGGATAATGCCTTTAGTCACAATGCTGGGACTTCAAAACAGAATTAAAACTCTGTTTAGGAGAATGTAGGCTCAAGAATCATTTCGACACTATTACATATTTCTTTTCTTCCCCCAGTAATTATTCATTCAGCTATTATAACTAACCACAGTAATTTTCTTAGAACAAAGGAGAGCATGGCAACAATAGCTTTAAAAATGACGAAGTTTAAATGCCCAAGGTCAGAGTGTAACGTTTTGATTTCCATAAGTATTTCAAATGCTACAGGCTTTATGTAATAATTTTAATGTGAAAAATATGCAGGCCACGCTTCACTGCTCTTTGCATATACTGCAAAGAGGGAAAAAAAACCTTAAAAATTGCTTAGCTTTAATTGAGCAAAGGGATTCACATGTGATCTGAACTTGTGGTTCATAATTCCTCTAGACAGCTTCGGTTGCCGTGTGATGATCCTAATTAAATTATGTAACGGCACTGAACTAGCTAAGCTAAAGGGCCTGTTCTTTCACATCACCTGGTGACTTAACTCTTTACAGGACTCTGGGTTTGGGGCTTTGGTCTTCTACCACAATCTTGTGTGTTTTTTCATTGTTAAGGGAAGGAAAACACAGTATTGATGGAATCCGCTTTAGAAGTTTCGGCCTGTAGGTGGCAGCATTGTAAGGTTTTGGAAGTCGTGAGCTCCCAGGTCTCTGCTTGCCTTTCCCCCAAGCCTCATCCACCCGTGCCACATCAGGGGAGCTAACATCACTATACGCTCATGTCAGGTAAAACTAAAATGGAGAGAAATGTCGTAGTCAAAAAATTAGGCTTTGTTCACTCCCGTTTGTGTTTCATTATATTTCTGATGACACGGTACATTTCTAATTCTGACCTGAGATTCAGCTAAAGGATTTTTCTCAGTAGTCAGGCGTCAACCCATGGCAAACCATACTTTTTCAAGATAGGCGTTTTACCAAGTAAAGAAAGGAAATTATTCTGGGGGAATAATTATTTAACTTAGCCATGCCTATTTTAATCACTTGGGAACAAGTTAGACGGCTTCGTGGGGCCATATAGAAATCACCTAACGAGGTCACCTCACAGTAATCTCAGTGTCCCTATAAAGGTTGGCTTCCCTCTCTTCCTCCCTCCTTTTCTCCCTCCCTCGCTCCCTCTTTTTCTTCCTTTCTGCTTTCCTTTCTCCCTCTCCTTCTCCCTCCCTCCCTTCCTCCCTTCCTTCCTTCTTTCCTTCCTTCCCTCCCTCCCTCCCTCCCTCTTTTCCTTTCCTTTTCTCCATGTGCGGTCACCTTTCACTCAAGACCTGAGATTACCTTTCTGATTTGGCAAGGGTGGAAAAGAAACGAAGGTTTACCAAGTAGAAAAGAAATAAAAACTTCACCAAATTTGATACATTTAATTTACAATTCATGATTCATGTAGCTTTTAATGATGTATTGTTTTATGCAATATGAATTTCTCAGATTATATCACTATAATACATAATAAATGCATATATGTGGATGCTAGCATGGATTTTATTGACTGTGATGTTTTCCTTAGACCCACAGAGATCTTGCAGTCTTACCTCGCACACTTCTCTCTGAAAGTTGTGCTTCAAAAACTTCCCTAGGTGATAATGGCAACAGTGTAGTGTAAGGACACTGGTTTCAGGCCTTGTATGAAGTCTTTGGTTAACTGAATCCTTGGGGAAAATCATTTCTGAGGTCAAGATTGACAAAATTGTTTAAGTATTATTGAAAATATAAAACAAAATTGTTTCCTCAATAAATATAATTAGCTGCATATACTGCAGTTTCAAGAGCAAGCACTGATGTTAGGACCAGCTCTTTAAATAAAATAGGACCTCTGTGGTCTCTGGAGGGAACATGCATAAAGCAAAGTAAATGATTTTCTGTCAACACTAAGTAGACAGGTGCTTACATTGAACAGCATTCTAATATGTCTCTGAATATTTATGTCTTCTTTTTCAAATGCATTGCCCATGAATGTCACAGCTGTCAAAAATCTGTACACAAGAAGATAAAAAATGAAATTAATAAAAGGCAGATCAACATTTCGTTTGTTTGGAACACTTTTCCCCCTTGCTGCTTTCTTTTTTCTTTCTTCTTTTTCTTCTTCTTCTTCTTTTTTTTTTTTTTAATTTTTAACTCAGCTGTGTTTTAGGATTTTGGTACATCTGCATGTTCTAAAAGGCCAACGGAAATGTAAGTTGACTAGTTGTATTTGGGCTGGCACCAGGGCCTGTCTCAGTATTTAAACACCAAAATAATCAATGGAATTAATGGCCAAGAGGAACAGGGTCTGAGGATTTTTCTAGCCATTTCCGCTGTCCATGCGCTTGGCTTGCTTGGGTGCCACAAACGAGATTCTGACAGGTTGTCACTGCCCTGACCTGAAACTCAAGTTTGTGAGGTGAGAGGCTCTTAAATCTTTTGGCTTCTGTAGCCCAGAGTTTTAGCTGTGCAGAGTTAGTGCCAAAACAAGCCATCATGTGCCCTCAGAGTTATAAAGGAATTTGGTTTTCAGAGCAGAGATGACTAAATAGAATTGGTGGTAGATCAAAGCAATGAATAAAAAGGTCTATTTAGTCATCAGATCCCTGCCTCTCTGCTTCTCATGGTACTGAGAGAGCCAGTGTGTATAAAGAGCATGTGTTAAGATGAACTCAGCAGTCACTTGACAAGCATTTATTCATTAAGAAGCCGCACATTTTGAGGTACCTGGTTGTTCTTATTAGTAAGTAACCCCCAGCAAAAATATCCCCCCAGATGTTTTCATATTTACTTTGCAATGTCCGAATGAATCATTTGGCAACAAAGGAAAATACAGTTTAAAGATTGAATCAGGAATTTAAGCTCAGGAACTCTTTGTACTTTGTTTTGCCCTTGATGAGAATTTTTCTAAATTAAAAACTCTCCAAATTGTCAAATCGGTGTTGCAAAAACCTCAGTTTAGTAAGATTTAGCATTTGGTTTCCAAATTTTGGTCATGTAATTGGTGTTTTATTGATAACCGCAGATATGAACCAGATGTAATCAATATTGGTTTAGCTCAGATTTGATTTGGAGAACATACTGGTTGCTTTGATTTTTTGTTGTAATTATAGAAGTTAAAGAAAAACCCCACATAGATTCAGTTCTGATTTGAAGAGGGTCACTGGACATTTTTTTTTTCTTTTAAGAAAATTTTAGTTCGTTGGCAGTCTGATTAAACAAATATTTGAGTATATTTATATTGGGAGTTGTACAAAAGTAGTTTGTAATATGGCTCAGTTCAAGTTCCTTTGATTTGTACTGTGCGATTGATATGGATCACTTCAACAAAATATCAACCTCTTTCAAATCAGTAATTTAACCTCTTGTCGGTAAAATTAGGGGTGATCAAATTGGCAGGGACCGTGAGGATTTTTTAGAGGTAGATGCTGATGCTCTTGTGGCTGGAACCTAGAATTTCTCTCCATCTCTGCCCATTGGAATCCTACTCCTTCTTCAAGATCCAACACAAACGCTACACTTCCCATCAAGCCCTCTCTGATTCTCCCTAGACAAAAGTATTTTTTTCTCTTCTTTTTTTACATGACACTTTGTAAGTACTTTAATGAAAGTGATTATCATATTCTGCTTCAAGTTATAAATAGTGGTTGATGTGTTTACTTCTTTCAATATATCATAAACCGAGAGCAGAGGCTTTGTCTGTTTTAAAATTTGTATTACTGCAGTTCTAGTACTCTTGTTTGCAGATTACTTATAAGTGTTGTGGCTTTCAATACTGGTTGAATCTTTGTTGCTGTTGCTTATTTTTTGTTTTGTTTGTCAGTTTGTTTTGGTTGGAATGGCTCATTTGGCAGGAAAAACATTGCAGCTATAAAATATAATCCAAATGCTTATTATTGAAAACCTTCTAGGGCATTTCATAACGTATACATAGAGTATCTAAAAAATATGCAACCATTACTAGCAGTTCACTGAAGTTCACATTTCAAATAGGTTGCATCTGTTTCTAATCAGGTAACTGAATGATTAGCAGGAGAAAACATATGATTAGAAAGCATACAACCCTTGCTGATACGTATTATTTTAAAGCTCTCCAAACTAAGGTCAATAAAGGAATAGTACATGCAGCAAGAAAAGCTAGATTAGAGGAAGAGTTTCACCAGTAAACCCTTTTGTGAGCTGTTGTAGAAACAGAACTAATTTAACTGATGGGTTGAGGCATTTTGGGCTGACATGCTAACTAAGGAATGTAAAAATAGATGAGAAGAATGGTGACTAGGAAAATTATGAGAGTTGTAGTTGAAGAAAATAAAAAAATGTTTGCTGAGTAGAAAGTCAATGAGCAGATGATTTCATCCGTTTTTATAGGGCTATACTTTTAACTCAAAGAAAGCTAAGTAAGACTAATGGAGAAAAGCCCTACGTTTGATAAAATAAAATAAACAGACACTATTACAAATAAGAAATGTTGGAATGCTCTTTGTTTACTGTCATTACTAATGGGAAAGATAAAATGACTTTCTTGAGGTAGTATATCATTTTAAGATCATACTTATCTCTTAGCTTAATTCATCAACTGAGCTACTTCATTTTTGAACAGTTTTTACACCATTGAGCTTGAAGTTCACAGAAGGAAAGAACAAAAAGCTCTGTTCTCTACTATGATTTGAACCAGACACAATTTACTTCAAAACTGCATGCTGTTCTTCAGTTAATTACTCTCCCTCTGAATTCTATCAGATGTCCCTTTTTCTGCAATTTGGACAGTCTGCAACAGAAGAAAGACATGGGGAAACTTGCTCTTGGTTTTATGTTGGTGACATGCTTTATGAATTGACTTGATATACTTTTCCAGGATTTATTACAGAAACTGGCTACACTTTTCTGTAGACCATCCCTACTCAGTATAGTCAAGGCTCACTGGCTTAACAGAACGTTATGTCTGACAACACCAGTGTGCCTACAAAGCTGTTCTAAAAAGAATGAAAATTTGGTTTGATGTAAAAGTCTACTGTTCATACAATGCCTTGTAACACTGTATTTCATTAATACTATTATTATTTTTAAACTGCAATGTGAGACCCAAGTGTGAGACAAAGAATTTCAAGTTCAAAGTAACTTGAAGCCACAGGGCCCTCAGCTTGGGAAATTCTTGGAAATATTGGAGGTCATGGACCTTCCAAAAAACACAGAGAAGGGAACTTGAGCTAATTTTAGCTAAATGTAAAGGACAGAATGACCTTACTTGACACAGGATTTACTTTTTGCCATTATTTTTTTATCTTCTGGTTATTTATAAACCAACAGCTTACCTAACTACATGCTGTGGTTAACACAATTTAAGCAATTATAGCTCATAGTGATAGTTTTCCTGAAGGTTATACTTCTGATCAAATTCAAAGTCTTGATTGCCAAAGTTTACATAAATTGTTAATACAAAATTTAAGTATGTGTCTATGTTCCATATGAAATACTGCTATGACATTTGTAGAATCCTAGCATCTAATTTTTAAAAACCTTAAGAACAGAAACTTATTGATTCTTACAATTTTCATCCCAAATTATTTCTGTTGCAACTTCTGCCAATTTAAGCTCCATGTTCATGTGCAAATAGAAGAGCCGGTTGTCTCTGTTGCATAATAATTTTCACAGGCCTGAAGACCTTGTTATATTATGCCTCAGCCTTCCTTGCTCCAGCCCAAATTATTACACGTTCTTGGATCTTTTCCCAGGGATCTTATTTTCTATAACTGGTCACAAAGTCTCTGAAGATGTAAAATCTTATAATCCAGAATAAGTTATGCAAATATTATTTTATTTTACTTTATTTCTTCTCCTTTTCTTACTGGTTTGAATAAAGAGACGAAGAAATGCTCCTTCAAAAGTCATAGTAAAACAGATCATGTAGATTTTTACTTTTGCTGTTGAAGTTGTGGGTTTCCCTTATAGTTTATCTTTTGCTTAAGACATTCTATAAAACCTCTTTTCTAACATCCAGACTTTAAATTTATGTCAATCAATTTACACCCTGGAAAACAGACCAGCTCAACACTCAGATCAACCTCTAAGCCCATAGGAATCCAGGCAACAAGCACTTGTCTTTATAGAGCAACTTAGTTTAAGCAATTAACAATCAAGCCCTGTACACATAAACACACTATAATTAACTGTTTAATAGTGGAAGCTTGCTTTTCAATTTTTTCCCTTTGAGTGTAGTCAAGGTGAATTACTGGATTTTTCCATCACTAAATGCTGCAACAGCTCGTTCTTTTGCAAGTCTCCCGTCTCCACCTATTTTCCTGTACTCACTATATTTGACAGTAAAACTGCCAAGCTCCATTATTTCCAACTGGCAGCAATTTAATACATAGTTGAGTCAGTTACTTAACTAAATAAATTGCTTAAAGTTAACTCTATTTGTAAGACCACAAGGTGTTTCTAAAATGTGCTGCCCTTTTATATCATAAACCTGGATTAGGTTTACAACCCCATTTCCCCTCAGCAGTTTATAAATCAAACAAAGAACATAGAACAATGCATAAAAATCCCTGTGAAACCACCCTCAGAGTTTTTGTTAATGACAAAAGCATACTGGGAACTGGATTTACTCTGTACAGGGGAGAAAAAAAAAGTTTGGTTTAAATCAGCAGAGTTTGTAAGAGTTATCCAAGCTCCTTTAAGAGCGATCAACTTTGAAACTAGAATTTTGTGAAGCCACAGCCATCTGTTCAATGCTTTCTGTATAAAAATGGCAGGACATGCTAAAAAGCTTTGGGCATGCTCTTCCATCTCCTTTGCTCCTGCCCCTTAACAAATAACCTGCCAAATGTTCTTAAAAGCACATGGGAGAATAAATATTGACTTACTTACGATGTCTCTCCACAGGTGCTCATTACACATAAATGAACAAATACACATACACACAAACACACAAAAATACACGATGCCCAAAGTGAGCACCATGTCATCTGGCCCAGCTGTAACATTTTCCTTTGCTGGTTACTAGGGATAGGTTTCTGAATCAGATTAAATGTAGCCACTGTCTCCATAGAAAATATATTTAAAAGAGTAGAAGGAAGCTGAAGATAGGGACATTTTCTGTAAGAGACCAATGACTAACTCTCTTGTAAAAGGTGAACATACTTTGTTTTTATGACTTAGTTGAAGATCTGTGTTTAGAGAGGAGAAAAAAACAACAACAACCCAGAAATGCTTCAATCTGCAAAGAGTAGAAAAACAAACAACAACAAAAACCGTAAAAGCCACAATTACTTTTGCACCAACTTAATACATTGTTTTGTTTAGATTTAGAAATCTCACGAAGACAGTGATTTTAGGAAATGACTTTTATTTGCTTAGTGAAGTCTTTAGTGCTTTTAGAGCAGAGCCTGGCATTTCTGGTCTAGCTATTTTCTGAGAGGGTAAGGAGTACAAGAGTAGATATCTCTGGCTAGTAAGATACTGTAAACTTCTCCAGACCTGCACTAATAGAAGGGAGACAATCCCCTAAGCATTTGTATTTGTCTCTGGAAGGGCATTTTAATATTCATTTATATTTGGATTTAAGCGCATTGTACTCATGAGAGAACTGAAAGCACTCACCCTGTCTCTACTCACCAGGGCCTAGAAAGTCTAACACTTTCTCAGCTTGCCTGCCTTCCACCTCACTTCCCCACCTTGTTCCACTTCATGAAGGGGTAGACTAATGTCTGGGAGTCTGAGCTCTAGTTTAAAAAGACCAGTGGAGTTTTTTTCTTGAATTCAAAATCAGGAGCACAGACTTTCAAAAAATGAAGATTGCTTGCGCAAAAATTGTTGGTGTAGAGGCAGGACAAATGTCTTAATGGAAACAAAGTATGGAAGTCCAAGATCCAGCTGTTGTTTTCTAGAATGTTGCAAACCCTTCTGTTCTGTTGCAGCCCAGGACTGGTAATCGGGTTTTTTAAGTGTGTCAAAAGACATGATGAAAATTCACTGGAGAGGTTAAGAAAAAAGTACCTCTTAAGTTGCTTCAGTTTCAGCTTTCACTGGTGAGAGCTGAAACATTTGCAGAAGACATCAACAAACCAGAAAAAAGATCCACAGCTAATCAAGGTTGTGCAGACAGGAGACAAAGGTAATTATTTAAAGGGCCAACCTTTAGTTGTAGGAGGGAAAGAAAATAAAAAGAAGATTAATAATGAAAATACACAAAATACCAAAAATCTGGGTTAATTAATGATCTTAATCTTTTAATATACTTACCAAACTGCCAATAAGCAAGCCATATAGAGAAGTCTGTGATTTATACTCTTTTGCCTACTTTAATTCTTCATGGCGAGTTTAAAAAGTGTGAAATTGCTAGAAATCAAGAAAACAAGAAACAGTAGCAATCTGAAGAATCTATAAATTTACTGAACAAAAGAAAACTTAAGTGTAATGCTTAAGACAAAAAAATAAAACAAAGTAAGCAAAAAACTCTCCAAAGTAATAGCACTCAAATGTATAAAGATTTTGATATGAGTTATCTCTATGAATCATCTTTTTGCCTGAAGAGGATAAAGTTTGCAAAGGAGAGAAATGTCACATAAAGCAGGACATGCTAAAAAGATAAATTCAACTGAAATAACTGGACATATCACACAAAGATATACTGATGTGTTTTGGATCTCAGAATAGTTAGATCACAGTTCTATTGTTAAGGCTTATTAAAACTAAGGTGTGTAATATTCTTTTGTGTTTTTTATTTTTGAGACAGAGTCTCACTCTGTTGTCCAGGCTGGAGTGCAGTGGTGTGATCTCGGCTCACTGCAACCTCTGCCTCCCAGGTTCAAACGATTCTCCTTCCTCAGCCTCCCAAGTAGCTGGTACTACAGGCGTGTACCACCACACCTGGCTAATTTTTGCATTTTTAGTAGAGATAGGGTTTCACCATGTTGGCCAGGCTGATCACGAACTCCTGACCTCAGGCGATCCACCCACCTTGGCCTCCCAAAGTTCTGGGATTACACGTGTGAGCCACTGCACCCGGCTGTGTGTAATATTCTTATATAATAGGCTGATCCTCTTGGAAGATGCATGTGAAAATCTTAACTAGTAGTTGTAGCAAGAGGTGACTACGTCTTGCTCCTGATCTGAGTTCTGCTCCTCTGTGGTCTCCTACCTCCAAATCGCTTGTGGACTCTTACCTGTTAAGCCACTCTCCATCACTACCTGTGTTGTTCCATGTCACACCTATGACTTTTTTTTGTGCTTGCAGTGGTGTACCAATTGCATGGAATTCTCCATCTTTGTAGTTGTTTGGAGTTCACAGTTTACAGCAAAATAACTTCAGGGTTTGCATTTATTTCCATAGGTTAGTTACTTTAAGTTTGAATTTGCTGTCGCACAAATTCTTGCAGATATTGCAACTCCAAGAGTTGTTAAAATTCTCTAATTTCTGTAAATATACCTACCAATATTGTCCTTAAATACTTTATCCTCTCTGTGTGCTGCTCTCATGGGAAGGGATTGATATATATTTCTGCCTCCTGCAGAAAGCAGAAACTCTCCAGAAAGAACTCTTTAGTTAAAAGCCCTTTAGATCATATTTACCACAGTATAAGTTTCCTTCTTTTTCCCCTGTGCTGTTGTTTTGGTTTAAATTGCTTGTCATTTAACTATTTCATGGACTTTTATGAGTGTATCACAGTGACTTTTTATTCATTTAATAAATATTTATTAAGAACCAACTACTAGTGATAGGGCCAAACCATAAACCCAGGTTTTCTGACTCTGAAGCCATCCATTAGACTACAAGTCTTGCTTGTCATGGATTTAAAATCTGAAGTGTAGAATACACATTCCATTTGAAATAGAAGATAGTTCTTTATAGAACCAGTTTCCCCTGTTTAACAGATTCTGGGCATTTTAATTTCATAGCCAAGACCCATCAATTTGCTGGCACATATGCTACAGGGAAGTCAATGCTGAAACAGGGAAGTTTGTTTTAAAAGGTGACATTAGTTTTGAGAATGAGTTGATGTTTGTTTTATTGTTTGTTTGTCTTGCTGATCACTTTCGTGGCATGTTTTGATTTAATTGTGTTAAGAATTTCTTTTTTTTTAAGTCTGCCTAAGGGCAGTGGGGATGGGTTCATTGAGAGATACAAATAGAAAATTAATAAATTCAGAGTGTATTTGGTTTGTTACTGCCCTTTGGAAAATAGCTGAAAGAATGTCTTGCTTTACTCGTGTCATTTACATGCCAGAATGACATCTATCTATAGAAGCAAATAGTCTATACACTGGAGTTTTCATGGATGGAAGAGATAACTACCCATAGACTTAGAGGTTCTATAATACTGAAAATACTGAAGTACTAAGACCTCAATGGCTTTTACAAATGGGACTTTTGATGTTCTTTACTTAGCTACATACACATAATCCTGAAGTTTGCTGCCAATCCAAGGTTGTCTCTGCCTCATCTGGAACCAGCTTGAATCTTTCTCAACAGTTTGCAATCTCTTGCTACAATAAATATATATTTCTTTAAATTTTGCACTGGAGACCTTTTGTTGCACTGATTCAGAGTTTGAATTCTTGCCTAGAATTTTTGGTAAATTTTCTATTATTTATTAGGTTGAGGAAAGACATTCTTGGAGGGAGGAGGACTAGATTGTTAATTAGCTCTTACTATAGGCCTGGCATATGCTAAGCAGTTTACATGTATTATCCCGTATAGTCTGTACAATTGCCTTTTCCTTTTTCAATGAATGGAAACTTAAAAACAGTACATTTGCTATCATGTGGGATATTTGCAAATATTTTTGATCTTCAAAAAAATGTGTCAGACTTGAAAACTTTGGGAAGTCACAATCTTATTCATGCTCACTTATCTCATGAGCTTACAAAACTGCTAGATGATTGACAGTATAATATGTTTGTAAGAGTCCCATCCTCCAGGTGAAATTAATTAGGTTTTTCACCTCTAATCTTGTTTTTCGTCATGCCAGGACTTAGTTGGCTGAGCTAGAGTTCAAGCTACTTCACTGTTCAAAATTTGTAACTCATAAACAAATGATAAAATAGTTCTGTCTGTAATAATATATATGCAATGATTCTCAAGATGTGGCTCAGGGCCTCCAAAGGTTCTTTGAGATCCTTTTAGGATGTTGCAAAAAGAAAGCTATTTTCATAATAATACATAATAATAATTCAATATTTGCGTTTTCTCCTCCATTCTGTCATGAGTGTACAGTAAAGCTTTCCAGATGCCACATAACTTGTGCTGGTGTTAGTGATCTGACAACCAGTAGATTTTTTTGTTGTTGTAGGTGGTGAATTCTTGTGTTCAATGACATTTTCTAAAAGAGTGGTTTGAGGGTATAAATATATGTGTGATTTTAGATATGAACTGTTGGTTTTCAATCACTTCTATGGTGTTTACATGAGTTATTTGTGATTATGCCATCTGTAATCTCTGCAACTCATTATTGTTCAATAAATTTTTTATTTTTAAGTGATGAAACTTTCTCTGCACCTATACAGGGATACAAGAGGTATAGTTTGTGTCTTCTCTTGCAATAATATTAAGAAAAAGATTTTTAAATATTTTATAAATGTTAAAATTTATTTTAACTGTATTTAGTATTTAGAGATATTTCTTCTAAAATTAAAAAAAAATTGATCAATTTGAGATATTAGTCCAAGGGTAGAGTTTCAGTTATGTGCGATGAGTAAGTTCTGGACATCTAAAATACAGCAAGGTGACTATAGTTAATAATATTGTATTGTATACTTGAGATTTGCTGATAGAGAAAATCTTACATGTTCTTATCCTAAAAAAAGGTAATTATGTTAATTACCTTGATAGTGGTAATGATTTCACAATGTACACATATATCAAAACATGTATACTTTAAACGTATATGATTTTTGCTAGTTATATCTCAAGAAAGCCTGGAAATTAAAAAAATAAGTAATATATTTTTGCATTTAAAGTTTGATTATTGGTTTACAGAAAGGAGATTAGAAGGCTTGTCTTCCCAAGTAGTTGTGTGTTTTGTCTAAAATTTCTGAAAAAGATGAAATCTCATGGAAGAATAATTTACACTAAATAAATTGCAAAAAAATGTAAAAGAGGGAGGAAAATATGATGAAAGCTATCTTATCCTTGGCTTTATACATACCAGAAATCATGTCATTGTATCTTATGCACTAGAATATTTTTGAATATTATTAGGGTATCAGCTACGTTGCAGCATCATTGAGACATTCATGTAGACATGATAAGCTCATTAAAAAGCAAAAAAGTTTATTACAATTTTTCAAACTAGAAATGAAAAATGAATCATTTTGCAGGGTAAGTTATTACACTGCCTTGGCTGGAGAAGCTCATACAATAGCTTGTACAGTAGACATTGCTGTATGCCTGCTGGATTAAAAATCAGTAAAAAAGAAAAAAATGACAGTGCCAACTGACTCATTTTATTAAAGATTTAGCTATAAACTGGAAGGCTGAGTTAATATTTCATGGGCAGTGTTGTACTTTTGTCTCTCAAAAGGGGGGCTCTACAGCCATGGATGGACTTGCTGTTTTGCTTATGTTTGCTTTATGTTTTGCTTATGATACCAGGAGGTCTTACCACCAACTAATCACCCAAAGATAATTGTTTTTTTTGTGAATGTTTGTCAAACAAACAAGTGGTTGAAATATTCAAAGCATTGGAGTTACTCAAGTATTGAATCATTGTTTTGAATCTGATGGTTTGTCCTGGTCAATATTTTCTTTTCTTGTTATTTGCAGTTATGGCACCAAAACATTGTTGGATAAAACTGCTAGTGCCTTGTAGGAATGTGGCACCAAATTGTACTAGTGGTCATTATATTTATCACCACCATGCACTCACAGTAAAATAAATAAGTTTCATTTAATAATGTCTTTTGTGAAGCAAAAATGATTAGTTTTATTAAATCTTAATCCTTGAGTACTTTTTTAGTAATTTATGGAAAATATGCATAAAACACTGCTGTATATCAAAGTACAATGGCTATCTTGAGGAAAACCTCTTGTGTGATTTGGGGAAATTCGTTTTCTCCACAATGAGCTTAACTGCTTTCTAGTATGTACATACATACATACTGTCTTACGAGATTGGTGGTTACATAGTCAAATATGATTTTTGATATTGTACAAAAAATATATCAACATTTTAAAGATCTGTATTATTTGGTAAAGCAATATTTTCTAAATGACCAGTTTGTAATATTACAAAATTATGCATGGATAAAAGATTCATGTAAATGTGAGATAGATCAGTGGGTTTTAATGTAACAGAATATGAAAAGCTTATTGATATGTTTCAGATTCCACACCACCAGCTTTTAAGAAACTACCAATTGTTGATGTATTGTCAAAGAAGAATAATTATCTGAAAATATTACTATATTTTTCTTTCCTTTTCCATTTACATATCTGTGTGATGCTAGATTTTCTTCATGTACTGCAACCAAAACAACTTATAATAGGTTGAATGCAGAAGTGGATGTATATCTGTCTTTATTAAGCCAGATATAGAAAAAAAAATAGGCCTGCCAACCCAGGTGTAATAGAATAAGGAGGATGCAATTATGGCAAGAAGTCCTTACATAGAGGTCAAGTAGACTGTGGTCACTTTACTATGTGTGGACGTGACCACTTGTACAAAAGGGAATTGAGTCCCTGGGCATCGGTTTCTCATTTTTGGCAGTTTCTCACTGTCTGTGGTCCCTATTGATCACTGAACTTTAGGGACATCTCTGTGAGGAGTTAGAGAGGCACTGGGGAGCTGTGTACATTTGCTCATCTTCTTAGTTTATATATCCTTTATAGTACTTCCTTGCTGGTTCAGTTATGAACCAGAGTAAAGGCAAAATTAGTCCTAGTCTGAATTGTCTTTCATGATGATCCTCAAGCACAGAACACATTGTGGGTCTGTCGTAGATCAGTCACCAATGATGTTAGGTACAGACTTGGTTTGAAAGTATTTTCGAGACTGGTCTCTGGGAAAGGAAATTGCTGTGAATAAGAAGTACTGACAATCTCTTATAAAATTGAACATAAAGTATTTTAATAAATTTGGCAAAAACCAGTCTTGTGACTCAGGAGCAGTTTGCCTATTTACCTTTGACAAACAGTGGAAACACGGCATTATTTGCATGAATTTCAAACCAAAGTCCACTGTAAATAACATTGATTTTGAGTGAAGAAAGAACAAGTGGGAAAGCATGTGAGAGCAGCAGGAATGCTGATTATAACTTTTTCTCATTAGCAAATATGTTTTTTTACTTACCTAATATTCCTGCTACAAAGCAAAATCCTCCCTAGACTTTAAAAAATGGACAACTTGTTGTAAAGGGTTAATGATACTAAGATTTCAAGGAAGTATGCTTTTAACCTGATAATAAAAAAAGTGTATTGGTGAAAAATCTGCTCCTCTCTGCTCATGAAAATAAATAAAATTACCGATTTTGAGTAAACTTTCATTCCTTAATGCATTGCGAATAAACAAAAGTTGCATTTTCAATTGCCTCTTTTTACTTGGGAAAGAAACACATTATTGAAATGAAAATGATGGCATTGCTTTTGTCTTTGTGATACTGTGATTTTTAATGTCAGAAGTTACTGATCTTCTGAAACCTCTGCCTTTCTTTTTCATAGATAAAAATATTCTTTATTAATGAGATTTGTTTTGTTTTGTTTGGGGGAACACATGTTCTGTTTCCTCTGAGAATTTGGTGCTTAAGTAAAAAGCTGGCATTAATAGGGAGAAGCATATCTCCTTTATAGATTCATCTTCTATTTTGAGAAACACAGCAGGCCTGTAGAAAGAAGCAGGTCATGTCATTTTGTGGTGATGAATAAAAATAATAGAAATTATTTATACAACCCAAAAAAAGAATGCAACAGGAATGAGCAGAAGTTAATTAGTAAACCATGAGAATTTAATAGAATCTAGATATCTTCTTATGTACGAAAGTAGTCAGTAAAGTACCATGCCAATGAAAGGCACAAACCCTAACTAGAGTGGCCACCCAAGCTGGAAGAAAGACTTCAAGGCTGATAGATAACCCTCTCAAATAATGATTTGTAAGAGACCTGGTTTATGCTAGGATGAAAGGTAAGACAGGCAAAGTTTGTCTCCTGATACGAAAGAAACTGCATGTGATGATACTTTATAAACCATTTGGGAATCGTAAGAAACTCTTACTGGTGTTTGAACGACACTCAGTGGGAACTTTCATGACAGGAATGCAGATGGTCTTCCTATGTTATGCAGATTTCATAAGTCTCGCAGAAGTTTTGGATGGTTAGACTTTACCCAAGTGTCTAGTTTGTTAGCTCTAAACATTGCATCTCAGACCTCATAAAAATGCTTCAAATCTTTTTTTATGGTTACAAAGACTTTTTAAAACTCGATAAACTAACAGAACTTATTTTGACGGCCCTCATAGGTAATTTAAAATTTCTATTTCCATGATGCATTTCTAAAGGTGGAAGTAATTGAAGAAATGACAAGGGCAACATTCTAGATTGTAAATATTTCTCTTTCATTTGTGGCTTACTTCTCTCCAATTAAGTCAGCTTAAAGGTATTTCTGCTGCTAACAGTTAACTATGTAGGACAAAGTAAATTATAAGCATATCATTTTTCTCCTTACTAAGGTTAAGAATCATGCATTTGATGGGCTAATAAAACATAATAAATAATATTGATTAGTTAAATAAAACATCGTTTAAAAAAACTGCCAAAGTAGAATTAGTCTGCTAAGTTGATGTTGGATATTCACTAGTTGAAAAATATTGGTCATAGCAAATACCATAGACTTTTAAGACTATATTTTAAGTAGATGTTTTATAGAAATTTACAGCCATTAAGTTGGGAAAGAAGGGGAGCACTAATTAAGGTCATAAAACCATTTTGTTGTGCCTGAAAAATATCTTAAGCTAAAAAATGTAGGAACTGTTATAATAATGGCAAACACTCATTGAGTAATTCTTATGTGGCAGTCACTAAGCAGACAGATTAACTCCTTTAGTCTTCATAACAATATTTTTGGATAGGGATTAATGTTATAATTTTCACTTAGAGATGAGATACCCTTGGCCTACAGTATGAAGTCTCTTGTCTAAGGATAAACAGTAAGTGGCAGAGCTGGGATTTGAACCCAGACAGTATAGCCTTGAAGCCCAGTTTCCCAGCCATTAGGCTAAGATTATTAGAAGACATGAGTAACCAAAACCAGGTATGAACACGTCCCAATTCTGCTAATTTGTAGAAAGTTAGACCAAGGGAAGGTTAGAAAAGTAAATTCTAGACATTTTAGATACATATTAGAAGGTCACTATTAATTGCAGACATTCTTATGGCCTGGAAAAAATCAAGATAAGGAAGATAGGAGAGAAAGGCAAGTAAATAAGGAGGGGGTGCCGTAGCCAAGAAGATACTGCTAAGTATGAAAACACCATTCCTCATCTCAGTGTTTCCACTTAATTACTTGTGAGACTTTTTTCCTATAGAAAAGTCATGGAAAGCAATAAAAGTTGTGTAAGTTTGCTTAAGTGATATTTACTTAGTAGCCCTCTTCTCTTCCATAATACATCAACTAAGCATTAATTCTGCTTACATTTACGTACGTGTTTCAGTAGTAAGAATATATTTACAACTGGGCAGTGCAATTTGAATATTTAATATGTTTAAGAATAAGAATAGATGAGACTGTTGCTGAGAAAAATGCCTAATTATCAAAGACCACAATGAAGTTCAACTTTAAATAATCTTTGTTGCCTGTGATACAATCCTTCAGTTTCTCACAAGGAATATAAATTATTATAATATAGAATAATAGTATGAATGATTATTAATGATAAGAATAATAGTTACTGTAATGTTTATGGGGTATCTGCTAGTCTTAACTATGGTCTGTGATTTACATAAATGTTTATGTACAACTTACAAAGACCACATGTGTTAAGTATCCAAATCATTTTACAGGTGAGGAAACTGAGGCTCAATAAAGAAACTAACTTGTCCAAAGAATGTATGGAAACACAGGGTGGTTGAGTGGCCATTTATGCATCAAACCTGTATCATTTGCCTTCCATCTTTGTACTTGAGCAACACTGTTGAATTTATTGTCCTCAGATATTTCAGAGATGTGTAATGAAGTCATTATAGTGATATGCAGGTTTTTGTTTTTTTTTTTTTGACAGAGTCTTGCTCTGTCACCAGGCTGGAGTGCAATGGCGTGATCTCGGCTCACTGCAACCTCTGCCTCCCAGGTTCAAGCGATTCTCCTGCCTCAGCCTCCCAAGTAGCTGAGACTACAGGTGCACACCACCATACCCAGCTAATTTTTGTATTTTTAGTAGAGGTGGGGTTTCACCAAGTTGGCCAGGATGGTCTCCATCTACTGACCTTGTGGTCTGCCCGCCTTAGCCTCCCAAAGTGCTGGGATTACAGGCGTGAACCACCATGCCTGGCAGTAGTTTTTAATTTCAAAGCAGTATTTACTGAGGTCAAGTAAAGTAAAATGAATTATAATTGTTCTCAGAAAATTACTTAGGATAGTCAGTGGTGATATGGTAAAATTACATTCTCCACCAAAGAGATATATTTGACCAACTTTGCCTTTACAATGGCCTAATTACTGGTGCATACAGAAAAACTATGGTCTGTATTTTTCTTTTTCTCTAGATTCTTGCTATAGATGGAAAAGGAAGGACTCCTTTTTATTGAGCTACTGAAGCTCAAAAGTAGATTATTGGACAAAAATATCAGTTTGTTAAAGGAGAAATGAACAACAATAGGATTTTTAAAAATTAGTTTCTTATCAATACATTGAACTGCTCTCCATAAGTGAGTGTTCCCTCAATACATAGAAACGATGGAAACCACTTTTAATAAGGCAGCACTTAAGCACAAACACACATACTATTTTTCTTACTCCTTTGACTCATCAGCAGGTGATTTGACATGCTGTGTTAAAGGGCTGATGTTTTTCTTGTGGGTGGAGACCCAGCCAGCTTTGATTGGGGTTGTGGGTGGAGAGCAGCATGCTTGGCCTTCTGTGAATGTTGATAACTTAACATTGACAAATGATCACATTATCATTAATCAGAGTGTTTGATTGAGTACCTGCATATTCATCATGTAGACACTGGCTTTAAACTTGAAGCATTCCTAAATAATCATATATATCAGGTTTAGAGGAGGGGTAGAAATGACATGGATATATGGACAGTAAATTTGAATTACTCTTCTAACTTGAAAATCACTTCATTGATTTGGAAAGAAGACCACAAACTCCATCCAGTTATTCATGAGCTGAAATGGAATAATGAGAATGGGAATGAAGAAGTACCCTTATTCCCCCAATGCCGCATGTCTGGCTGCATGGTATCATTAATATTTATAGTTTTTGAAAAGAAAAGTACCCTTATTCCAAGGACTTTCACTACTTATTGATCATATTTAAGATCTCAGCTAGCCCTTACGTATGCAGCTGTGGGCTACATGGAATTACCAAATCAAATAATTAAATAATAGCTCTTTTCGTGTTGCCCAAATTCATTGATGGCTCTGGTGTACTCAGAGCATATATAGATGGTGTGGAATAATGTCAAGAGCATGGAGTAGACTGCCTGTATTTGTAGCCTGGAGCTCCTACTAACTGGGCCTGAGACCTTGGCCAGTACCTACGTCATAGGGTTTCATGAGGCTTAAACAAGTTAACACATGTCAACCCTTGTGCCTGGCATGTAGTAAGGACTTAGAAAAAATAACCTATTTTATTTTACATACCTCTTCATGTCAGTCTTAATTGAGCAGTCCTTTGGAATAAGTAGGATGATGTCTTTTTCATGTCCACATCTCTAATATCTAATTCCCAACCAACTAAGGTATGCAGTCATGTTTGTAGTTATAATATAATTACCCTGCATCCTTCTACTGGATGAAATGCCAAATAGAGTGTCCTATGTACTGTGGTTTTAAGGTGAAGTATTTTTATGAAAGGCACTTTAGTAGCATGAACAGGTCCCCAAACCTTTTGTTATTTATGAGGAGCTACACTCCTCTTCATCTGAAGCCTGGTGGACAGCTGGTATTGGGATGACAAGGTGTGTTATCAATGTATTCATCCAGGACAGAATTATTGAACACTAACTATGTGCTAGGCACAGTTCTAGGCATTGGGGACATGCAGGTGAACAAGACACATGAAGACCCTGTTCTTGTGGATACTGGGGTTGGAAAGGATAGATAATAAAGAATGAGTAAATAAGAAAAATGCCACCTGGAAGATAATTCTCTGTTATCAAAAATGAAAGAATGTGTGGAAATACTGGGTGGTTGAGTGACCATTTATGTCAGGTGATCGGGAAAGGTCTTTCTGAGGGAGCAGCACTTGAGCTGAGCTTTGAGTGAAAAGAAAGACCGAGGCAAATGAAGAGGGAGGAAAGGGTATTCCCAGAAAAAAGGCCAGCTTGTGCAAAGACCATAACTAAGGAATTTAAAGAGGACAGGGGGAAAAGGGAGAGTGGAGCAGGGTGGGGTTAAAGAAGAAGGCAGAGGCTTTGTTAGCCATCTTAAGGAGTTTGGATTTTATTTCAGATGCAGTAGAAAACCATCAGAGAATTCTAATAAAGCAGAGAGATGTTTAAAAAATGCCACCCTGCCTGCTATGTGGAAATAGATCTTGGAGGGCAAGAGTGTCTGACTCTTGTAGTTAAACTTTGAGCTGGCTAGGGTGAAAGAGGATCTACTTATTAATGGAAACCCAGAAAGAATTGAAGATTGAACCCACAGAAAGACCAGAGATGTGGCTGGTTTCAGGTACAACTGTAAACCAGAGTCCTGGATACTATGAGGACTCTGTCACTCAATCTTTTTATTCCACCTCTTCTGTATAGACTTTATTTTCTCAATCCAGGTGGTACTACTTTTTTCTTGTGAGGCAACATGGCTACAGACAAATCCTAAATTTTATCTCTTCATTGCTTCTACCACCAGAATGGATTAAATCTATCTTTCAGTAACAGACTGAAATATCTCAGAGGACGACTCTGATTGGCTACTCCTGAACGAAACCACCATTGTCATGGAATGGGCTCATGAGCTCACCATAAAGATATTGAGGGATTAGAGGTACCAGTGTAGATCCAATGGGAAGTAAAAGGGAGGGGACCGGGCAGGCAATCCCCTACTATCACGTCCAAAGTAAAGTGTTCTTAAGAAAGGGGGACAGGGAAAGGGGATTACTAAAGTTCACAGGAGTGTCAGTCCTCCTAGGTGCTGGGAATATAGCAGCAAACAAAACAGATGAAAATTCCTGTCCTCATGGAAGTAGCATTTTAAGGTCCAAGGTTTAAAAAGTGCTATGTATAGCACCGTATCACAGTGCAAAATGCTGTTTCAGCATCTGAAAACACACCGAGAAAGCAAAATAGTGCGTCTCTGCCCTCTGCCTTTATGGAATTTAAAGTGCACTGTGAAGTATAAAAGGAGAGGAAGAAGAAAGGGAACAGGTTTAGGGCACCCCTGCCATGTACCGCTCTCAGGGATGAAGATTAAGAGGAAAGAGTTTCCAGAACTTTGTTCATCTCCCTGTTCTCCCCAGACCGTCATCATCATTGTAAATAATGCAGCATGAGGAAGGTTCCCTGGCAGAAGCTGCATGGCTGTGGCCCCCTCCCTGTGCCTTGGTAGCATACACCAGGCTAAGGCCTCACCAGCTTTACTGCCAGCCTCTCCTTTACAGGCTGTACATTCCAAGTGTCATGATGCAGGGAACCATTGTGCTAGCAGTGAGGGCAGCACCCTTTCTGACTGATCACAGTCAGCCTGTGGTGAATCCCTTCGCTTAGTCTAAGTGATGCATTTTGTAAAACCACACATTCTGGGTTTAACGCACTGGGTTTTCACTGCCACATCCGTCAATCAGTTTCAATCACTTGCCAATCAGGTTAACAGAACCAGAAGCCAAGAATCTGCCCAACGCAGGCAAAGACCTAATGGGTTTGTCTGTCAAATGCATCCTAATCCTGTGTTTCAGTGAAATGTTTTGAGCCAACTAACAACTACAGAATGAGTGACTCAACTTTTTTCTCTTATTTTAAAAACAGAAAACTATTAGAGACAGAAATGCACTCTGGTGAATAAAGGGCAGGACATTAAATTGGCAGAACTTCATAGTCTAGGTATGCTTATTTAGACTAATTGAAGGATTAGACAATTGGGCCTAAGGCTGTATTTGTTCTGGTCAAGAAAATTGTGTGTTAAGAGCCTTAGTAATATTTTGATTAAGCCTAGATGGAAACCAGAATGAACCAACTAATATTTTTAAATGTATTTTTTTCCTTCTCAGCAAAAAGTAAATAGAGAAATGTCTGTGAGGTCAGATTTGTGGATTTGAGTTTGATATGAGCCAAGGATTTTACCACATCTCGGTGCCACTGGCCTTAGCTACTTGTGCCAGTTATCAATGAATTGTCCCTCAGCTCCAAATTCACTTATTACTGACTGATCTGCAAAATATAGGTGAGCGTTTTAAATATTTTTCCTTTTCTTGCTTGCACCATGATAAGCTATGTTTATTGAGGGCACTGGGAAGACACTGCAGGAGGAAGGACTTTTCCTTCCTGGTTCCTGTTCGCTTCTATTGGCAGACCCCTATGGCAGAGATGGCATCTCAAGCATCTGGCTCCTATAGCACAAGTGTCTTCTCCAGTGCCCAGTTTCTACACCCAGGACCACCTTCATGGGCATGCAGCCTGTGCAGTCACTCAAGGCCCTATGATTGCTTAGTGCTCTGCTGTTGCTGTCTTGTACTAGGCCCTGCAATTATCTAGTCCGTTCTGCCTTTATCTCAAGGCAGCTTCTCCAATGCCATGCTCTGTGACATGGGCTGCTTCTCCAGCACCTGCTTCCAACAGGGTACTGTGGTCAGCAGCAACCAGTGTCCAACAACTTTCCCAGTACGCCTCCCTGTGAATAGCTTTCTCTATCACACAGCAGTTGAGGCATTTTGTGGTCCCTTTCTGCTCTGACCTTAGTTTCACTTGAGAAAATTGAGCCCTCTTTCAGCATTGGGCTTGACAAACCAGATGGCAGCACTCCTCATGGGTTTACTCAGAGGCAGGGGGTCCTGAGGACTGCGATGTACATCCAGCAGTCCTGCAAAGGAAGGCAGAACACTAAATTGGAGAACAAAGGAAGGAAGCAGACAGTGCTATGGCAATCAGAAGCAGTCAATAATCTATAGTAGTAGTAGTAGTAGCAGTAGTATAGTAGGGAAGGCTGGGGGAAGCCATTAAGGGCTGAAGTGAGGGAATATTGGATCCCACTTATGGTGATGTCAGCTGTTGATATGGCTTCATATCCTAACTTTAAGGTACAGGACAAGTCCATCACCTGTTTCAGCTACACATTCACATACTGACACCAGAATAGATGCTGCTGGCTTGTCCTGTCCTTCTTCCTGTCCATCTTCCCTTACTCCATGTCCTGGGGCAGAAGGTAATTATGCTGCTCATCTGCCTTCATGGGTAGGCAGCAACATCACGTCAAATCCCTAGACCCTCAACTGCGCTGAAATAAACTGCTAATTGCTGAGGAACTAATCACTTTCTATAATTTAGGATTCCCTCAACCCACGTATGTTGATTTATGGTTTATACTTGTATTAACTGAGTTTTATGAACTTATTAAAAAATAGATACAAATATTAATCCCTGCTAGCTAGTTTTCTCTCCATAAAAATTTTGTGAGGATGTTGCACAAACATTGGAAGCATCTTAAGAGCTTTAGCAAATAATATTATTTGGCAGTAAGAGCGATCAATTTTCTATCCTATCTCCCTCATAGACTGTAGCTGTGAAAATTAGTTTTACCTTGTATTTTGTTGTCTTAAATGTCAGTGTGTGTTATAGACTCTCTGGGATTTAAAGTTTGCAACATCAACAAAGTTCTATGCTAAATACATTGAAAATTGGGATAAGTATCTAAAATGGGTCTCTACTTTCAAATGACTTTCATGTTCTCTTTAAAAAGTGGTGGTCATAAAGACAATTCAACAAATTAAATAGAAAAAATTTTAAAAAAGGAAAAAATAAAATTGAACACATGTAAAGTATATTCAGTGATGGGCTAGAAGGATTACATAAGCAATTTCTCATTTATTATTCGTGACTTTTCTATAGTTGGAACATTTTAAAACTCTTCAAAATAATGCTAATTTTGAAAAATATAGTACTATACACAGTTTAGTTTTCCAACCCTTGATGTTTTTAACTGTACTGCACCTGTCTGTCTTCAAACCTGGAATATTCTCCAGCATTGCCTTTTTAAATTTCATTTCTCTGCCATTCCACCAATTTCTTTTGCTGGAATTTATATTAAATGTACATTGGGTCCTCATAAGTTAATTTTGTTGTCTAAACTACTATTTCATATTATTTAATTTATTAATCTTTTGGTGCTGCATTCTGGAGCAATTTCTCAGTCAGACACGGGCCAGGCAGTCTCAGGGCAGTTTGATGGCACTGTAGTTGATGGGGGAGGCCTGCAGCTTGGGGGATGCAGGGCTGTTCAGGAGGGTGGGTTGTGCTTGGGCTTGCATGCCTCTGACCTCCATGCCCTCCTCCATCCCTGCAGCTGAGGGCACCCGGCGCACAGACCCACCTGCAGGCAAGCCCGCCATGGTGGCCAATCGCAAGGGTGGCCTGAAGCTGAATGCCATCTATGCCAAGCTCCAGGTGGTGTTGGAGAAGCGAGCTCAGGCTGGCTCCCACGCCGGGAGCAGCCTGCCCTCCAACTTACCCATTCTATATTTAACAATATGAAGTTTAAGTTTAATTTGTGAGATTTAAAATTTCAATTATTTTTTATAGTTTTCCATTTTCTGGATTTCTAATTGTTTCTTTTTCACATCCACTTAACATTGTTTACTTCTGTTTTCTTTTATGATATCTTTTCTTTTTAAACATTTAGGATTGGGGTTAGTTTTTCAAAAATTCTTTGAGTCCTAACCATAATCTTTTTTGAAAAAGAAATTTGTAGATTATGCTACTATTTTCATTTTATCTGTAGTGAATTAATCTTCCAGCTATGAATTTTGTTGGCTGTGTCTGGCCCACCCGCCTTCCTTCCTTTCTTACTCTTTCCTTCTCTTGCTTCCTCCCTTTATTCCTTTCTTCTTTCTCTATGCTCATTCTCTTTTTTACTTGCCTTATGGTTGTCTCCACTTTATCTCCTAGGTCCTGAAGTTCAAATCCAGGTCTTACACTAGCAACTCAGGGCAGATATTCCACAGCTCCATTAGATGCTAGATTAGATATTAGATCTCGCCACCAAGCTAGTAGGTGAGTAGGGCCAGGTTTAGGCAGCATGACTCTGTCTGCTCTCTCTCACTCCCTGTAAAATGTAGCCCTTGGTTGCAGTCAATAGGAGCATTATTCAGACTCTTGAGTGGAGATTCGGCCATGTGGGAGGTAAGAGAAGAAGAGAGTCCTACTTAGTACTTGTTCTTGTGCAGTCAGCCTTGTTTTCATCTCCTGGGAATGCAATTAGTTTCTGTTTCTCTATAGAAGTTAAACTAAACTCTGTGTCTGAGGGGTGCCTCAAACATGGATTTGAATGATGGTCTTGACCAGTAGTCTCAAGGTCTTATGTAATAGTCTTTGTGTGTGTGTGTGTATGTGTGTGTGTGTGTGTGCACGCGTGTGCGTGCACATGTGGATATTTTTCATCCCAGGTTGGGATTAAGTGGTATATTTTGTTAATGACTCTACAATAGAATTTCATCTACAAGTAAGTAATCCAATCACTGAAGGAACATTTAGTCAGTGAACACTATGGACTAAGTAGAATACTAGGTCCTATGGGTACAGAGAATGAGGTTGAGCCTTCTCTTCAATGCTCGTCTAGGGCAGTGGCAGCGGCAGCATAGACAACCTTCCTTCTCCCTGACTTTGCTGCAGGTTTAACCTATGCTGTTTCTACTTTTGAGATTTTAGGAATTACTATGGTTTAGGTGGTTCAGCAAATACATGCATTATATTGGACATACATGAAACAGTCTCACCAGGTCTGCAGTGTCACTTACCTACAAACATGAAAGGGTAAGGCCATGTGTGCATGTCAAATGACTGCATAGATCTGGTCAATGTTCTGTTGTCTGCTCCAAATATAGCAGCACAGTTTTTGATATACTTATGAAAATAACTGAAACTTTGAAACTTTAGTTTTTATTTAAAAAAATCAGACCTAGCCAGGATTAGTAAGCAGTGCCCAGATTAGCTGTATTAGCAATAAATAGTGAGTCAGAAGGGAGAAGCACCATCAGGACAACCAGAAGCTATGCCTGAGATGTGTTGTTTTTACCCATTTTTATCTTTGACTTATATTATTTTGATAAAGTAAGGAGACAAGCAAGAAGGAAAAGACAGAAGAAGGAACCCAAAAGGCCCAAAAGAAGGAGAATGGTTGCAGAGAAAGGAATTATTCCACAAAACAAAGAGCAGCAAGGCTTGTTTAAGATAAGAAAGTAAATGATGAGACAGGGGTTAGGAAGAAAATAAAATCAGAATGGGGACAAACGAGTTGTCCTTTCCTTCACATGAACGAAGTATAAAATATACTTCAATATAAATATAAAATATACAATATAAAATTTCCTGTTGTAACTCACTAGTCACCATCCTATATTTTCAGGGGTAAAATTACCATTAAAATGTCTACTTACTTTCAATACAAGTAGGAGGATAGCTCCCAAATAAACTCATGTCTCATTCTCTCTGTTTTGGCAAGTCTTAAACGTATTCATTCTCCTAGGAATAGGAATTATGGAATCTAAGAGTAAGACAATAATCTGGAAAAAGAGAAAGGAGAGAAAGGGCAAAATTTTCTTTTGTTTGCAAATCTAGTGTATTAATTGCATTCCTGGGAGACTTTCTGGACAGAGCCTCTGGTAAACAAATTAGATATAAACCGAAGGCGAGGGCACCAAGGTCACGGTGGTGAGGGAACATCAAGTGACAGGCGCTGGGACCCCCGATGCATGGCTTGCAGAGCAGATGTTCGCAAGGATGCAGTGATTATTGAACTGGTAATAAAAAAGCATCAGCTTACAGGCAGCCACGATGGATGCTGGTAATTATAAAGCATCCCCTGGGAGGAAAATGACACAAGTCAGCCACAACTCCGCAATCACCGGGGCATAATTAAAGCTCCAGTAACAGTTGTTAATAGGGTGCAAATAAAACAGGGGGAAAATTTGAACACAACCTTTTTTTTTCTTTCTTTTTTTTTTTAAGAGACGACAAAGGGCAATGTAATTACAGGGACAGCAGATTTTATAATTTTGCTCCACATCATAAAACAAAGAGTTGGAGCTGTTAGGTGGACATAGATATTAAAGTATGGAAACCCAGATATACCTACATATATATGTATACACACACACACACACACATCAAAGGGAAAAAGTGTGTTTGCTCTTTGAATATGCAGTATGTGGGGGAGAACAGATTTTTAAACAGAATGTTTATATTCTAATTTTCAAAATGGTAGAAATACAAATATGTAAAGAAAACGGAATGCATGTAAATATTTGGCCATTTCATCCTTTCCGGAAGATCTGTAGTGGTATAATGTGCCAAGCTATATGATACTGTTGGTTAAAATGGTTTAGATATTGTTAAATAAAGTCAGTAAATCACTTACAGTGTTGAAAGTGTCACTTTTTCACAGAATGCTGCCAGCCACTCCCTAACCTAAAACATTAAGCAAAACACAGCTCGTTTTCCACAGGCTAAATCACTGAAGCTATTTGCCAGCAGATATCCTAAGAAAAATACATCTACACCCATTGCGACCTGGTTGCTTGGGCAATTGGGCAACTAACTATGCATCTGCATGTGCATTACCAATTAGGCCGACATAAAGATCTATTTTAAGAGGCACGTGTGTAGTGGGATAAGAAAAGGAACCCTGTTAAGTTTCTGTCTAGCCAGCTTTTCATTAATGGATTTTCAGAAGATTGAGTTTAAAGGGGTGACAAATGTAGAAAACACACTGTACTTATTTGCACTAAAATTTGTGTAAGAAGAACATGAATACCCATATGTGTCAGTTTCAATAAACTGTAGGAAACAAGAGGAAATGAAATAGCAAATTTTAGTAAAACTTCTACTTCTGGAGTTTAATGTGATCACAGTTAGCTACTGGAGAGCTTTCTACTGCTTTCTTTGGGTATTTGGAAAGCTGGCCAATTAAAGCATAACTAAATACTGATGTATTTGGTGTGCATTCAAAATGAAATGCATTTGAGATAGGATGCATGAAAAATAAATTATATTTCAAATATGAACTTAGATTTCCTAGTTCTGGAAAGGACCTGAGAGGCCATATCCCTCATTACCCTTGAATGCCTACTGTGTGCAGTGCACTGGTAAACATTATGAAATGTACTAAAAGACAGTATCTGTCCCCACAGAAGACTTGACATAGACACAGGAAGTGTTAACTAATGATAAAAGGTGAAGTTCCTGACTTCTCTTGGGCCCTCGGGCCATGGAAAAATAATAAAAACTTCATGAGAAGCTTCCACTACTCCAAGAAGGAGTCAGAGGCACAAGATATATTATCCCAAGACAAAGATATTAAGAAATATGAATATTTTGGCTTTGGAGGCAGGGAGAAGTCTTTCTTTAATTGGGAATTAGCTCCTAAAGGAGTATAAAATGCACAACTATAGGACTATTCTTGAAAAAAGAACAACAAAAAAGGGTGAGAGAGGAAAAGGGAAATTCTATCCTCACCTTAGGGGTAGAATAGGAACAGTGTTCTGTAGGTGGCTCAGGATTCTGTAGAAAAAAGGCAGGTTAGAATCCAATAAGTGGGAAATGCTGTTTATTGCATCCCCCTCTTGGAAATTCACAATCACACTAGCCTATTAAATGCTCTGATAAGATCCTGCAGGAAGACTATATATCAAACTGGTTAAATATATTGCTTGGCTTTGGAGTTAAATAATCCTAGTTTGAACTCTAGCCCTGCCCAAAACTAAGCAAGCTACTTAACCAATCAAACTAATAATTAAGACAGTTCTACCCTTGGTTTCCTCAACTATAAAATAGGGAGAATAGTAGTATCTACTTCCCTAGGTTGTCATGAAGATTAAAGAAAATATTTTATGTAAAGCATTTAGCATAGTTCCAGGTGCACAGGAAATGCTCAAAATATCTTAGATACAATAAGAATTATTATCTTATCATGTAATAAATAAACCAACCTGTTTAACTTTGCTCACTTCAGTATTTTTTACCCTTTGCCTATGGAACTATCTTTTCAAGAACACCTACAAACATTTGAAAATATATTAGTGTTTTGAGATAAACAGATTATGAAGCATTGACCTTGTGAGAATCACACAGTCCAAGGCAGGTGCTTATGACTTGCTCCTCTCACCACTCTGAAGTTATTCAAATTTAATGTGGGCGGTGGGGCTTGGAATGGGAAGGGCTGTAGCTTTGATGTGTCAGAGGATGACTAGAAGAAGGCCAGTGGTGGAAGAAAAGGCAAGAGAGCTGTTCATCTATTTTTGTTTTTGTAATATTTGGCAATAATTGAGTAACAATTATCCTAATGGATTAATGTTTATTTGGAAAGTTACCACTATCTGTTTATGTTTGCCTCTTAAAATTTCATCACCACATTGTCTAAAGACATTTCATTACTTGTCCTTATAGTCTTAACAACTTCCCCAAGACTTCAAATAAGGCTTTCAATCTCCTACCGAACATGGGAGAAGTAAGACACTATTCTGCCATTTTCCTTCAATCTGCTGTTGTACGCCAGGATATTCACTTCTTCTCTTATATGTCTGTTAACAGCAGATTTCAAGCATTATATAAATCAGTGCCTAACAATATCAATTTTAGATTTAAAATAGTCCTAGGATAAAATGTATTGATTTTAGAGAAGGCTTTGTGTAAATTATTATATTTATAGTTTCTCCTAAAAAATGGACAATTCTATACACTTACTTTGTTTCCATAATAGTGGAAAAGTAAAGCAGACTATTTTGATCAGAGAAAAAGAAGGGAAAATATAGATCAAATTGTTATCAATTTTTTAAAGTGTTTCAAGGTGTGGTCTATATGATTTTTTGCTCTCATTGCCTATAACTTTAACCACTCATTGTGCTTAGAATTCTTGCCAAAAAATTTAGCCAAATTTGTTTTGGATTTCTGATGGGACATCTTTTTCTTTCTTTCTTTCTTTCTTTCTTTCTTTCTTTCTTTCTTTCTTTCTTTCTTTCTTTCTTTTTTTTAAAGCAAGCTAACATAGGAACAGAAAACCAAATACTGCATGTTCTCACTTATAAGTGGGAGCCAAATAATAAGAACACGTGGACACATACAGGGGATCAACAGACACAGGGGCCTTCCTGAGGGTGGAGGGTGGGAGAAGGGAGAGGATCAGGAAAAATAACTGTTGGGTACTAGGACATCTTTACAGTAGATTTATTTTTAATTCTTCCTTTAGGGGCTTTGTGCTCTATTTAAAAAATTATATGTACCTCATTGGAATGTTATTAATCTATGAGTTTATACTACGAGAAATTCTTCACTGGTTTTTGAACAAAGCTAAAAGAAAATTAAGGATTCTGCTTCACACTGGTGAATCTTTAAATTACATATACACACATATTTAATTAATGGGGGTAACGAATGCTCATTCATTCATTTTGGCTAACAAAGGACTTAATGGGGATATAATAATAATTAAGACAGTCCTAAGGTCAAGAAGTTTCCAGTCTGCTAACATGCTAAAAAAGCCACCCATATGTGTCATTTGCACTATTGCAAAAGTCTGTACAGGATGCTATGGGAGAACAGAGAGTAGAGAAGTCTTCCTAGAAAAGCTGCTATTTGAGACTTGAAGGATAAATGGGAAATACAGAAGGAGAGGGTTGTCTGTAAAAATTATGAGTTTCTGGCTCCTTCTTTGGTTCTTTTCTTTTTTCTAGGTATTCTCACTTCCTAAGTCTTCTTCCATAGTTACATGGCTGTCAATTCCATTTATATTAATGTGCTTACCACATTTATTTAGCTCTGACATTTCCCCTGAATTCTAGAATCATATCTAACTGCCTATCTAATATTGCAACTAGGTATTTAATATCACATTTTATATATTTAAAACAGAAAACTTTAAAAAGTGCTTGCCCACCAATTTGATCTTTTTCTAGTGTTCCCTGTTATAAAATCGCACTGCTATTTATCTAGCTCTTAGATTTCTCTCTTGCTCCCTATATCCAATCCATCAGTACATTTTATTGGCTTTACCTTCAAATTATATGCTGCTTCTTACTATTTGCTGCTACTGCTCTGCCCAAGTCATCTCTCCTCAGGATCATTGCAAGAGATGACAAAAGAGTCTCCCTGCTTCTCCACATGCCCTGCACCTGCAGCGGGCAGAATGCTTCTTTTGAATCATAAGCCACATCATGTCACACCCTGGCTCACACCCTCCAGTGGCTTCCTATTAAGGAATAAAATCCAAAGTCCTGAGCATGGCTTTTAAACTTCCACATGGTCTCCCTGGATACCTCTCTAACTCTCCTCCTCACTCATCCTCTCCAGCTACACTGTCTTTACAGCTGTCTCCTTATACCTTAGGACCTTTGCACTTACTGTTCTCTGTCTGAAATGGACTTTCCTCCTCTAGCCCACTTGCCTTGTTTCCTCTATTCAAGTCTCAGCTGAAAAGTCACCTCCCTGCATTAGCAAAATTAGTAAACCCTCTTCCTCAAGCAGCCTCTACTCTGTTTCTGAATTAATTCTTTACATATTTTACTATGTGACTTTTATCATATAGATATGTAAGCTCTGTGATGCAACAGCTCATTCTGTTTTATTCACTGCTGTATCTCTAATGCTCAGAAGACGAGTTAGCATATAGTAGGTGTCCAGTAAAAGTTGGATGAATTAAATATACATTTCTCATTTTCTTGGGATAATCAGGTAGAGATGTTTAGTTGTGTATATGGAAACAGGAAATTAGAAAGAAAGACCTAGTTTGGAATAAAAAAGTATTCTACATAGAGTAAGTTACTGCATTCAGAGAGATGAATACAGGCAGTATAGCCAAATTCCTAAAAAGTGAGAAGGGAAGAAATGCATAGAAGCCCACCTTCCTCATTTAATGGGTAGTTGGCTTAAAAGCAAAGGTTGCACTAACAAAGTTTCAGAATTCCTTGCAGCCTCTCTGGTGAGAATTCTCCTTCCTTTCTTATTTTCCTCCCTCTATCCCTATTCCCCTCATTTCCTTCCTTAGGCATAGTTTGGATGTGCTTCATTTTAGTGTATCTAATTCATCTAGCATAGCAGAATCCTCCACTTCAGCAGCTCATGTTCAAGTATGGAAGCTTTAAAAAATATATTTATACTAATATTTGTATTTACATATTAATATGGTTTGGCTCTGTGTCCCCACCCAAATCTCATCTTGAATTGTAATCTCCGTAATCCCCACATGTCGAGGGAGGGACCAGGTGGGAGGTGATTGGATCATGAGGGTAGTTTCCCCCATGCTGTTCTCGTGATAGTGAGTTCTCAAGAGATATGGTGGTTTTGTAAGACAGTTTTTTTTTTTTACCTGCTTTTGCTTGCTCTCTCTTGCCAGCTCCTGTGTAAGACATGCTTCTTCCCCTTCTGATATGATTGTAAGTTTCCTGAGGCCTCCTCAGCTGTGCAGAACTGAGTCAATTAAACCTCTTTTCTTCATAAATTACCCAGTCCAGAGTATTTCCTTATAACAGTATAAAAATGGAGTAATACACATATGTAGTGTGTGTATATGTGCATAAGTATATTACACACGTGTATATTCATGTATACATACACACATATAATGTTAATACAACTTAGAAAGTACCACATATCTTTATAGTCATGATCAAATGCTATGAGAATTTGGAGGATGAATCTAAGCTGAAGGTTCAAGACAGGGAAAAGGCATTCAAGCTGGATTCTTGATAGGCAGGATTTAGTGAGGTAGAGGAGAAAGCATGGACAAATGCCTGGAAAAATGCATTTGGGAAAACATCATCTCAGCTGGCCAAATCATAATCTAAGAGTTCTTATTTTGATCATTGAAGTTATATTTATAGAGCATACTTTACTCTTGTTCACATTTCCTTTGCATGTCAAAGAAAGTCAAATATGAGTAATTTTTATGATATCTTATGTCATCACTATGTGGCCAAAGGCTATGATTTTATTTATTCAATATGTGTTTGAAAATCAGTGTTACAAATCTACAAGCTAAGTGATCAGGACAAATGTAAATCTTGTTTTACTCTTCTTCCTTGATTTCAAGGACCATTCACAATCTGTGCTGAAGGAGTCATACTAGCCATAGTTTATTAATAACATTGTGTATCTCACCCAGACCCAAGGCCATACATACTCAAGATAGTGACTTCTGGTATGATCTGAGAAGTGCCAAAGATCTCTTTCACAAAATACCTCCCCCCAATTACTCTTGAAATTCTAGAGGCCAGCCTTTTGAGTTATCAGTGTTTTCTTTGACAATGATTCCTTATGTCATTGATTTTCCAAATTTTGTGCCATAGCAATCACCTAGGGGAAATGGTTTGATAGGTAGCATTTCTGATTGATCCAGTGGGTCCAGATTGTGAGTGTTTAGCATGGTACATGGATCCAGAGACCATACTTTGAGAAACACTGTTTTAGATAGCAAACAATTTACAAGGGTAGTGATTCATATATTAGTGTGAATTCATTTAATTTAATGGCTTCTTTTCTAATAGTAATTTCAGGTAAACTAGAATTTAATAAATAAAGTTAAAAGGTGAGGTATAAGGTTTTGTCCCAAGTAGGTGTGCACTGGTGGAGTAAAAACCTGAATGCGAACACTGGGCACCTGTAAACAAAAGCATATACGGAATATTTTTTGTTAGTAAATGGGAGAGGGATGGGCAGAGGTGGAAAAAAAAAACCACTGAATATGCTTTCACTATATTTTATGGCTATTACTTTTTGCTAATTTCTGCCAACATTTCTGTTTGAACTATTTCATATTAGTTCCATCCTCTTTCCACTAGGCATTCCTTACATACAGCTTAAACCATTTCAGAACATGCTGAGGAAGTATTTGTTTGAAAATTGAGTGACCGTGTTTTGGTATGAGAAAAACTATAATGTGGAAATATTTCTCTTTAGTCTACCAAGATTCAGGTGGATTTGGAAAAGAAAATCATGTTTCTGTACAATAATTTTTCTGGCCAGTTCTCTGCAATTTGTTGGAAAATTTTTTTAAAACACCATCTTCTATTTTTTTATCTTTTATAATGTTGCATTTCTCTCTGCTTGGGACTTATCAATTACATAAACACATGCATGCTTCTTAAGACCCAGTTATTACTCTCTGGCAGCCCTGCTTGTCAAAAAGACTTATTCACTAGTTTCCATCAGTTTAAGCATTAAGAATAATGTCTTTGGCTTGACCAGCAAGCTATTTTATTGTCTAACTAAATGTTTAATCTCTGCAGAAGCTCTTCATAACTCCCACTTCATAGCAGCGCTAGTGACACTTCTTATTTTAACAGTGTCAAATTATGCCCAATTTATTTTGTTTGATTTCCTTGTTGTGAACTGTTATGTGTTCTCTAAACCTTCTTTCTGGAAGTTAACCCACAGCAGGGAGACACTTGTCACAAGGTGACTTTACTAGCAGTACTTTCTCCTCGGTGATAGAATTGGCTCACCTGCCAGCTTCAAATGGCTTCCCCCAAACACATAATGGCTGCCTCCCACTGAGATCTGAAGCAACCCCCTACATCTTGGAACCTGGCCAAAATGACACTGCTGAGATACACAAGTAGGAACTTTGTTATGTTTTCTGATGTGGAAATGGGACTGTTGAACAGTGAACAAATCTCCTTAATTTAAGATTCTCCTTCTTGGTGGATACATGTTATAATCTTAAATTTTAAATAGAAAAAAAATCTACATTTAATTTAGTGTTTAAAAATGGGGACACGATTTTGTAAAAAGACATTTGAAAAAATGAGCAGTTAATTTATAGAGATATAAATAGAGGTCTTCAAAATATATAACACTCTTACCAACTAGTACCTTATAGCTATTTTTGTAGCACTGACATTTTTCTTCGGTTGTACTCCAAAATATTGAGCTATTTCTACTGTAGTTGAATAAAGGTAATTAATTTAGGAAGATACCATGCCCTACAAATAAAATATCTATAAGTATTATATTTTGACTTATTATAGTTTATTATGTGAAATCATGACAGATTAACTTTCTGTAACTGGAATTTTGAGAGAAAAGATTCTAGAATCTGAGTTTTAGGGAGTCAGTTCCTCTGGTTGCTGCCTTGCTTCTCATCTCAACAGTGATGATTTTCAGTTTGTTTGGGGACAAATTATAGTGAAATGCATGCACACTTCCCATTAGTGTCAATAGGAATTATGCACAGTGACGGAAGAATAGACCCCATATGTTTATGAGAAATGAATGATTTGAAGCATCTGTGAAACATTCTTAAAGGCATCTCTATCACTGCATGCAATCCCAGCAAGGTTTAAAAAAAAACACGAGAATTGTATCTCATTATGTAGACTTTAAGGAGCATATCAGCGCAACAACAAACACACATGTTAGTTTTAAACAATACACTGCATTGAACATTTCTATAAGTGTAAAAGTAACTTTAGAGTATAAGCATCCTGTTCCAAAAAATAACATTTCTTTCTGTGCAATTCCAGTGTGTGTATATGTTCATATGATTTAATAAAGTATTAGCATTTTTATTATATAAAATCCCACTCAGACATTATAGAGTCATGCTTGGCAGATATTTTTAAAATCTTTTAATTTTGCAATAATTTTAGATTTATAGAAAATTGCAAAGATAGTACATAGAATTCCTGTGTACTCTCCATTTAATTTCCCCTAGTGCTGACACCTTACATAAGCATGGTACATGTGTGAAAATTAAGAAATTTACATAGGAACAATATAATTAATAGACTTTTTTCAGAATTCAGCATGTCCTTTTCCTATCTTATCATCAAATCCAGTGTACCACAATATATTTAATCTTTGTCTATTTAATCCCTATGGCAATTCCCTCCCCACCTACTCTTTTTTTTTTTTTTTAACCACATTGACAGTCATTGGGAGTACTGGTCAGGAATTTTTTTGAATATTCTTCAATTTGGATTTGTCTGATTATTTTCTCATGATTAGGCTGGGTTTATGGGTTTTTGGAAGAATACCACAGAGGTGAAATACCCTTCTTATCACATAAGGAAGTATATGAGACCAACATCACTTACCAATATTGATGTTAACCCTAATCACTTAGTTAAGGTGATGTCTGCTCAATTTCTCCATTGTAAAAGTACTAATATTTTTTCCTACACTAATCATTGGCAATTAGTCACTGAGTCCAATTTATTGTCAAGGGGAAGGAAATTAAACTCTGTCTCTTGGAGGGAGGAATATCTACAGATATTATTTGAATCTCTTCTGTAAAGATTTGTCATTTCTTAATTAATTGATTAGTTCATGTCTTTATATCAGTATTGACCCAAGAGTATTTATTTCACTCTTTTGGTTATAACACAATACTATTTTTGTTAATTTTGATACTCAAACAACAGCTTTGACCAGTGGGAGCTTTTTTAGGTTGGCTCCTATATCCTTTATTTAGTGATACATAATAGTTGTACATATTTATGGGGTACTGTGAAATTTGTTACATGCATAGAATGTGTAATGATCAAGTCAAGATATTTAGGGATCCATCACCTCGAATGTTTATCATTTCTATGTTTTAGAAGCATTTCAAGTCATCTCTTTTAGCTATTTTGAAATGTATAATACATTGTTGTTAACTAGTCACTCTATTCTGCTATAGAACATTAGGACTTACCTTTTTTTAATCTGTGTGTTTGTACCCATTAACCAACCTCTTTTTATTTCCCCTGCCCACCTACTCACCCTTTCCAGCCTCGGGTATTTTTCATTCTCCCCTCCACCTCCATGAGATCGACTTTTTTAGCTTCCACATATGAAGGAGAACATGGAATATTTGTCTTTCTGTGCCTGGCTTATTTCACTTAACACAATGACCTCCAGTTCCATTTATGGTTGCCACGCATAACATGATTTCCTTCTTTTTTATGGCCAAATAGTACTCAATTGTGTATATATGCCACAGCTGCTTCATTCATTTGTCATTGATGGACACTAAGATTGATTCCACTTCTTTGCTATTGTGAATAGTGCTATAATAAATATGAGGGTGCAAGTATCCCTTTGATATACTGATTTCCTTTCCTTTGAATCAATACCCAGTGGTGGGATTGCTTGATAGTATGGTGGTTCTATTTTTTAGCTTTTTGAAAAATCTGCATGCTGTTTTCCATAGTGGCTGTACTAATTTACATTCATGCCAAGAGTTCATTATATTTTTTGGGTATTAGTTTCTTGCCAGATGAATAGTTTGCAAATATTTTCTCCCATTTAACAGGCTGTATCTTTATTCTGTTGATTGTTTCCTTTGCTGTGTAGAAGATTTTTAGTTTAAAACAGTCCCATTTGTCTCTTTTTGTTTTGGTTGCCTGTGCTTTTGAAGTCTTAACCATAAAAATCTTTGCATAGACTTATGTCCTTTTCCCCTATGTTTTCTTCTAGTTGTTTTATAATTTTGGGTCTTATGTTTAAGTCTTTAATCCACATTGAGTTGGGTTTTGTGGGGGTAAGGATAGGGGTCCAGTTTCATTCTTCTGCACATGGATATCCAATTTTCCTAGCACCATTTATTGAAGAGGGTATCCTTTCCCCAATGTATGCTCTTGGCATCTTCGTTGAAAATCAGTTGCCTGTAAATACGTGGATTTTCCTGGGTTCTTTATTCTGCTTTATTGTTTCATGTGTCTGTTTTTATACCAATACTATGCTTTTTTGGTTGCTATAGCCTTGTAATATATTTGGAAGTCAGGTAATGTGATGCCTTGAGCTTTATTCTTTTTGCTTAGGATTGCTTTGGCTATTTGGGTACTAATTTGGTTCCATATACATTTTAGGATTTTTAAAATATTTCTGTGAAAAATGGTATTGATATTTGATAGAGATTGCATGAAGTCTGTAAATTGCATTGAGTAATATGGTCATTTTAATGATTTTAATTCTCTCAATCCATAAGCATGAGATGTCATTTTATGTGTTTGTATCCTCCTCAATTTATCTTTTCAGTATTTTGTAGTTTTCCTCATAAAAGTCTTTCACTTCCTTGGTTAAATTTATTCTTAGTTTTTTTAGCTATTGTAAATGGGATTGCTTTATTGATTTCTTTCTCTGCTAGTTCTTTTTTGGTATATAGAAACACTATTTTTGTATGTTGATTTTGTATCCTGCAATTTTACTGAATTTGTCAGATATATGAAATTTTTTGGCTCAGTCTTTAGGTCTTTCTAGATATAAGATCATGTCATCTGCAAAGGGGGACAATTTAACTTCTTCTTTCCACCTCGGATGCTATTTATTTCTCTCTCCTGCCTGATTTCTTTGTCTAAGACTTCCAGTATTATATTGAATAGGTGTAGTGAAAGTGTGCATCCTTGTCTTCAACCAGTTTTTCAAGAAAAGGCTTTCTGCTTTTCCCCATTCGGTATGATGTTAGCTGTGGGTGTGTGATATATATGACCTTTATTACGTTGCGGCATGTTCTTTCTGTGCCTAGTTTGTTGAGAGTTTTTATCATGAAGGGATGTTGAAGTTTTTCAAATGCTTTTACTGTGTCTACTGAGATGATAATTTGATTTTTGTCCTTTATTCTGTTACGTGATATGTCATGTTCATTGATTTGCATATGTGGAATGATCCTTACATCCATGGGATAAATCCCATTTGATCATGGTGTATAATATTTTTAATGCACTGTTGGATTCAGTTTGCTAATATTTTGTTGAGGATTTTTGTGTCTGTGTTCATCAGGGATATTTGCCTTTAGTTTTCTTTTTTGTTCCACCCTTGTCTGGTTGGAATTACTCTGGAATCAGAGTAATGCTGTTATTGTGGAATAAGTTAGGAAGAATTATCTCCTCTTCAATTTTTTGAAACACCTTAAGGAGAATTGGTGTTAGTTCTTCTTTGTAAGTTTGGTAGAATTCAGCAGTAAAGCCGTCTGGTCTTGGAATTTTCTTTGTTGAGAGACTTTGTATTACTGATTCAATTTCATTACTTGTTATTTGTCTGTTCAGATTTTCTATTTTTTTCTGATTCTATCTTGGTAGGTTATATGTGTCCAGAATTTTATCCATTTCCTCTAGGTTTTCAAGTTTTTTAGTGTATGGTTGTTTATAATAGTCTCCAATAATCTCTTGTATTCCTGTGGTATTAATTCTGATTGCTTATTTGGATGTTCTCTTTCTTTTCCCTTGGTTAGTCTAGCTAGCAGCTTATTGATTTTGTTTATCTTTTCAAAAAACCAATTGTTTTGTTTAGTTGATTCTTTGTATTTTTTTTAGTTTCTATTTTTATTTAGTTCTGCTCAGGTCTTTATTATTTCTTTCTTTCCATGTACTAACTTCAGGTTTGGTTTGTTTTTGCCTTTCTAGTTCCTTGAGATGCATTGTTAGATTGTTTATTTGAAATCTTTCTACTTTCTTGACATAGGCATTTATTGCTATAAACTTCCCTCTTAGCACTGCTTTTGCTGTATTGCATAGATTTTGATATGTTGTGTTTCCATTTTTATTTGTTTCAGAAATATTTTGATTTCTTTCTAAATTTCTTTCTTGGCCCATTGATCATTTAGGAACATTCTGTTTAATTTTTCATGCATTTATACAGTTTCCAAAGTTCTTCTTGTTATTGATTTCTAGTTTTACATTGTGGCCTGAGAAAATACTTGATATGATTTTGATTTTTAAAAATTTGTTGAGACATGTTTTGTGTCCCAACGTATTGTCTAAACTGGAAAATGTTCTAAGTGCTGATGAGAAGAATGTGTATGCTGTGGCTGTTTAATGAAATGTTCTGTAAATGTCTGTAAGGTCCATTTGGTATAAAGTGCAGCTTAATCCACTGTTTCTATGTTAATTTTCTGCCTAGATGATGTGTTTAATTCTGAGGGTGGAGTATTGAAGTCCCCAAGTATTATAGTATTGGAGCCTATCTCTCCCTTTAGATCTAACATTTGCTTTATATATCTGGGTGCTGTGGTGTTGAGTGCATATATGCTTAGAAGTATTATATCCTTTTACTAAATTGAGCCCTTTATCATTATGTAATGATCTTTTTTGCTGTTTTTTTACTTAATTTGTTTAATCTGATATGAGTATAGCTATACCTGTTCACTTTTGGTTTCCGTTTGTATGGAATATCTTTCCATTCCTTTACTTTCAGTTAATATGTGTCTTTACAGGTAAATTGCATTTATTGGAGGGAGCATATGGTTGGGTCATGTTTTTTGATCCATTCAGGTAGTCTATATCTTTTAAGAGAAAAGTTTAATTCATTTATATTTAAGGTTATTATTGACATTTGAAGGCTTATTTGTGTTATTTTCTCAATTAATTTCTGGTTATTTTGTATACCCTTTATTCCTTTCTCTCTTACTGTTCAGTTAACATTGTGGTTTGGTGGTTTTCTGTAGTGGTAACATTTGAGTCCTTTCTTTTCTTTATTTGTGTGTTTACTCTACCAGTGGGTTTATATTTTAATGGGTTTTCATGATAATAGATTTTGTCCCTTTGCTTCCAGGTTTAAGACTCCCTTAAACATTTCTTATAGGATGAGTCCAATGGTGATGAATTTCCTCAGCTTTTGCTTGTCTGGGAGAGACTTTATTTCTCTTTCATTTATGAAGGATAACCTTCCAGGATATAATGTTCTTAGCTAGCAATTTTTTTCCAACCCTTTGAATATATCATCCCATTTTCTTTTGGTCTTTAAGGTTTCTTCTTTTTAATTTTTAATTTTTGTGCATACATAGCACATATATATATTTATAAGGTCCATTTGATATTTTGATACTGGCATACAATGCATAATTATCACATCAAGGGATACTATTACCTCAACATTTATCCTTTTTTGTGTTACAAACAATCCAATTATACTTTTAGTTATTTTTAAATGTACAACAAATTATTGTTGATTATGATACATATACACAATGGAGTACTATTCAGCCATGGAAAAGAATGAGATCCTGTCATTTGAAACAACATAGATAGAGCTGGGAGTCATTATGTTAAGTGAAATAAGCCAGGCCTAAGAAGACAAACTTTGCATTTTCTCACTTATTTGTGAGATCTAAAAATTAAAACAATTGAACTCATGGAGCTAGAGTAGAAAAATGGGTAACAGAGGCTGGAAAGGATAGTAGGGTTGGGGGAGTGGAGTTGGTTAATGGGTACAAAAATATAGTTAGATAGCATGGATAACATCTGGCCTGTAAGGTTTCTACTAGGAAACCCACTATTAATCTGAAGGTGGTTTGCTTATAAATGAGTAGATGCTTTTCTCTTGCTATTTTTAGAATTCTCTCTTTGTCTTTGACTTTTGGCAGTTTCACTATAATGTGCAAATGGAGAAGATCTTTTCAAATTGCATTTATTTGGGGATTGCTGAGCTTCCTTTATCTGGATATCTAAATCTCTTGCTAGACTTCAGAAGTTTTCAGTTATTATTTTGTTAAGTAAGTTTTCTATTCTTTTTGTTTTCTGTTTGCCTTCTGACACACCTGAGATTTAAATATTTGGTTACTTTATGATGTTCCATATGTCATATAGGCTTTTAAAATTCATTCTTTTTTAAAAAAAACTTTTGTCTGACTGGATTATTTCAAAAGAGTTGTTTTCAAGTTCTAAAATTCTTCTTTCTGTTTGATCTAGTCTATTGCTTAAGCTTTTAAATGTATTTTTTATTTCATTCAATAAATTATTGGTTTCCAGAATTTTTGTTTGGTTACTTTTTTTTAAATGACATCTATGTCGTTGGTAACTTCTCATTCATATCCTCAATTGGTTTTCTGATTTTTTTGTATTATTTACCTGCTTTATCTTGCATCTCATTGAGATTCTTTAATATTATTATTTTGAATTCTTTTGGGGGGATTTTATAAATTTTTGTTTCATTGGAATCTATTGATAGGAAATTATTTTTTTTCCTTTGGAAGTGTCATATTTCCCTGCTTTTTCATATTTCCTGTGTCCTTACATTGACATCCACACATCTGTTGTAACAGTTGCTTCTTCCAATTTTTTAAGTTTGCTTTCATAGGGGAGGATTTTTTCTAAAGATGTATCAATGGTGTTGGTTGGGTAGGGTACTTTGGCTTTGACTCTGGGTATGTGCAGTAGTGTTTTCTCTGTATGATCTTTGGCTGTAAACAGTGTCAGTGTTGTCTATAATTTTCTCAGTGGCTTACGGTGTGTTTGTTAGTGGAGGCTACGGTGAATTTTTGCTGATGATAAGGATGCCAGGTGGGCCAGTCCTTGGGCTCCAGTGGTGGTAGCAATGATCTGAGCCTGTCTTTCTTGGGTCACAGGATGACATATGATAAGGACAATGTTAGCGGATTCAGGCAGATTGATTGTTAGGTCTTCAGGCATCTTGCTCAAGTGCTGGCAGTGGCAGCAGTGGGCCAGGTAAATGAGCAGGTCCTCGGACCCCTGGGCAGTGGGTGTGGCGTGGGCTATGGCAGTAGCAGTGGCAGGAAAACCTTTTAGATTACAAGCTGCCTGTGCTGGTATTGGCAGTGGCTGTGATGAGCTGGGTAAGCCAGTCTCCTGCAGGTGGCATGTTGGGGTGGGTGCCAGCTGTGATGGCAGCAGCAGGTTGAGTGGGCCCATCCTCAGGCCTTCAGGAGGAGTGTTCAGGTGTACGTTAGCTCCTATACTTTTTTTGACATGTCTCTATCCTCTCTTATTTTTAGGTTTTTGAATACTTACTTCCTTTTTGACACTACAAGATGCTCCAGGTTCATCCTGTATTTTTCTTGTTCCAATTGTAAAATCACCCGTTTCTCTACAGAGCCCTGGATTTTCTTATTGAAGAATTATATTTAGAAATCAAAATCTAGGTGCTAGGTATGCTCATTATAACGGGGGTTCACTGTGTCTAGACCCTCTCAGTGAATAGTGCTAGGGAATATTTTATGCATACTAACATACACATTTACATTTGTGTATCTTTCTAGTGATACGTTAAAAGAAACATGAATTTATACTATTTGTAATTCTAATGCAGCATAACATGGTTCACTCAGATCTCCCCCTCTGCTTTGTTTATTTGTAATCTCTTCCTGCTATAATGAGAAACCTGGCTCCCATTATCTATAAATTATTTATTTGTTCATATAAGTGAATAAATTCAAATAAGCAAGGTATATGACATATGTATAATTTTAGAATTGCTAACCCAGTCCCGGTGTGAAAAATGGTTAGAGAACAATGGCTGTGTTCAGTTCTTTTTATCTTTAGCTTTGCCATATCAAGTAAAATTACCATTTCCACAGTTGCTTAGGTCAGCTCCCCACCTCCTGCCCCAATCCCCCAACCCTGCACCTTAGTGAGTTTATATCATAGACATGTGTGATACAATTAGACTAATTTTTTACAGTCTGCATTCCATCCTGAATCCCTCAACATCCTAGTTGAGTTTTTAAAAAGCATTTTAGTAAAATGGTGCGCAATTCTATATTTTTCTGCCTTCTGCTTGCATTAATATTATCAGTTACTCACTTTAAATCTTTTCTTATATGAGCATTTATTTCTATAAATTTTCCTCTAAATGCTGTGTTAGCTGCATCCACAAACTTTGACTTGTATTTTTATTTTCTTTTAGTTCACACACTTTTTTTTAGATGGGCTCTCATTCTGTTGCCCAGGCTGGAGTGCAATGGCACAGTCTCAGCTCACTGCACCTCTGCCTCCTGGGTTCAAGCAATTCTTGTGTCTCAGCCTCCCGAGAAGCTAAGATTACAGGTGCATGCCACCAAGCCTGGCTAAATTTTGTGTTTTTAGTAGAGATGAGGTTTCACCATGTTGGCCAGGCTGGTCTTGAACTCTTGACCTCAGGTGATCCACCTGCCTCGGCCTCCCAAAGTGCTGGGATTACAGGCGTGAGCCACCATGCTTGGCCTAGTTCACAATATTTTTAATTGTTTTGAGCCTTCTGTGTCTCACAGATTATTTTAAAGCATGCTGTTTAATTTCCAAATATTTGGTCATTTCCAGGTATCTTTCCATTATTTATTTTTTGTTTAATCAATTATAGTCTGAGACCACATTTTGTACAGTTTCTATTCCTTCAAGTTTATTTTCTTGTTTCATGCCCCCACTCCCGACCCAAAAACAAAAAGCAAAATCTATCTTGGTGACTGTTTCACATGCACTTGGGAAGAATGTGTATTCTGCTGTTGTTGGGTGGCATATTTTATAAATATCTGTTAGGTTAAGTTGGCTGATGGTGTTGGTTAAGTCTCCAATTTCCTTACTGATTTTCTGCCTACTTATTCTGTTAATTACTGAAAGAAAAATGTTGAAGTTCCTAACTCTAGTTGTGAGTTCATCTATTGTCTATTTACTTTTTTCCCCATTTCTTAGTACTTGCCTCATGTACTTTGAAGTTCTATTGTTAATACACATTTACAATTTGTGCCCCTTGTAGAATTGATTTCATTATTATCCAGTGTCCCTCCTTATCCTTAATAATATCCCTTGTTGTGAAGTTTATCTGAAATTAATATAGTCATTCCGGGTCACTTTTAGTTAGTGGTTGCATGCTATAATTTTTACCATCCTTTTACTTTATCTAATCTGTGTCTTTACATTTAAAGTATGTTGCTTTGAGATAGCATATTGCTTTGTGTTGCATTTTTTGTTCATTCTGACAGCCATAGGTGTGTTTAGATCATTCAGATTTAAAGTGATTATTGATATAGCTGGATTAAAATCTACCAACTTGCTAGCTTTTTCCTATTTTGTTTTATTAATTCTTTGCTTTCTTCTCCTCTTTTTTGTATTCCAGGGTTTAATTAAATTTTTTTTTATGATTTCACTTTATGTCCTCTGTTTATTTACTATTTATACTTCTTTAAAAAACTTGGCCTGGCGCGGTGGCTCACGCCTGTAATCCCAGCACTTTGGGAGGCCGAGGCGGGCAGATCACGAGGTCAGGAGATTGAGACCATCCTGGCTAACATGGTGAAACCCCGTTTCTACTAAAAAAAAAAAAAAAAATTAGCCAGGCGTGGTGGCGGACGCCTGTAGTCCCAGCTACTAGGGAGGCTGAGGCAGGAGAATGGCGTGAACCCGGGAGGCGGAGCTTGCAGTGAGCCGAGATCGTGCCATCCAGCCTGGGCAACAAACAGAGCAAGACTCCGTCTCAAAACAAACAAACAAACAAACAAACAAACAAACAAAAACTTTTTAGTTGTTTTAATAGGGTTTGTAATGTAAGTTTGATATGGTTTGGCTCTGTGTCCCCACCTAAATCTCACCTTGAATTGTAATTTCCATAATCCCCACGTGTCAAGGGCAGGACCAGGTGGAAGTAACTGAATCATGGGGGCAGTTTCCCCCATGCTGTTCTTGTCATAATGAGTGAGTCTCACTAGATCTGATGGTTTTATAAGCGTCTGGCATTTCCGCTGCTTGCATTCATTCTCTCTCCCACTGCCCTGTGAAGAGGTGTCTTCCACCATGATTGTAAGTTTCCTAAGGCATCCTCAGCCATGTGGAACTGTGAGTCAATTATACCTCTTTTCTTTATAAATTACCCAGTCTCAGGTATTTCTTCATAGCAGCGTGAGAATGGACTAATATGAAGTTTTAATTTAGATAAGTCCATCTTCAAATAATACTATACTCCTTCATGTTTTTTGCTAGAACCTCATGCCAGTGTTTTCCCAATTCCTCCTTCCCACCCCTTATGCCATTGTTGTCATACACTTTACTCTTACATATGATACAAATACATAAACATTGTCACTATTAGTTATTTAACTTTTATAGCAACTAGAAGAAATTTTAAAAACTATTTTATTACTGATGTTTTAAAAATTTATTTATGGCCGAGAGCGGTAGCTCACGCCTGTAATCCCAGCAACTTTGGGAGGCCGAGGCGGGCAGATCACGAGGTCAGGAGATCAAGACCATCCTGGCTAACACGGTGAAACCCCGTCTCTACTAAAAATACAAAAAATTAGCCAGGCGAGGTGGCGGGCGCCTGTAGTCCCAGCTACGCAGGAGGCTGAGGCAGGAGAAGGCGTGAACACCGGGGGGCGGAGCCTGCTGTGAGCCGAGATCGCGCCACTGCACTACAGCCTGGGTGAAAGAACGAGACTCCGTCTCAAAAAAAATAAAATTAAATTAAATTAAAAATAAAAATTTATTTGTGTATATCTAAGTTTCTGTCCTATATGATATTCTTTTACAACTTTTTTATTAAAAACTTTCCTTATCATGCTGCAGTGATGTATTCTTTCTGCCTAAACTATTTCCTTTATAATTTCTGTAGAATGTCTGATGCAAATGGTTTCCTCAGTGTTTTGCTTTGTTTTCTGAGAAATTCTTTAGTTACTCTTAGTTTTTTAAAAGATATTTTTACTGACTATAAAATAATGGCTTGACAGTTATTTTAAGTGTAAAACTTCATTGTCTCCTTTCTTATTTTCTGATGTTTATTGTAATAATTATCTTGTTACTTTATGGCTAATGTTCTTTCTCCCTATGACTGCTCTTAAGATTTTCTCTTTGTCTTTCATTAAATATGACATGACAGGTATGTTTTCATTTAAATTTTTTTTATCCTGCTCGATATCCTGTGAGCTTTTTAAACCGGTGAGTTTGACATCACTTGTTAAATTTGGACCATTCTTGGCCATTATATCTTTATATTTTTTTCATTGTCCCATTAATGCCCTTGCTACTTCTTCCTTCTGGATTCTAAATATGCATATGTTAGACCATTTGAAATTATCCAATAGACCTTGGATTCACAGTTTTGTTTGTTCCCTGTTCTTTTTTTCTGTTTGTGTTTCTGTTCGGGTAATTTCTACTGACATATCTTCAAGCTCACTCATTCTTTCATTGGCTGTGTCAAGTCTACTTATGAAGCCATCAAAGAAATTCTTCATTTCTATGACCATGTATTTGATTTCTAGAGTGTTTTTAGCACTGGAATTTTTCTAATAGTTTTCATCTTTGTGCTGCAATTACCTATCCAATTTTGTATGTCATCCATCTTTTCCATTAGAGCTGTTAACATATTAGTTATCGATATTTTATATTCCTTGTCCAATATTTGGTCATATTTAAGTCTGGTTCTGATGATTGCAATGTCTCTTTTGTTTTTCCTTGTCTTTTAAATTTTTTATGTTTTATAATTTTTTGTTGAAAACTAAACATGTTGAATAGGGCAATAATACTTAGGTAATCTTTTTAATATAGAGATAAACATGGCTTTCCTTTCGCTAGGACTTTAGTGTGGGTGTTTGTGTTAATCTAGTCAAGATTTAGATTGGATATGAAGTTTGTTATGGCTGTGGTTATCCTCAGTGCATCAAATTTCCCTGTGTGATTTCTTGCTTATCCCTTTGGCTTTGGAACTTCCCTGTATGCTGCTTGTCAGGGACAGTCTGTTTCTTGCAGCTCTCTCAGTTATATTTCATTGTTATTTTTATTCAATATGTGGTGGTGGGTGGTATGGAGGGATATTCTCTGATGTTTCGATTAAACTTCAGTATTAGGGAGGCCTAGATGTAATGCTAGGCCTAGCATATCTTCATACACATTCCTCAAGAAGAGAATTTTTCCTCTGCTCCTTCTTCTACTTCAGTTGTAGTAGATTTCTATCATTGTCTTTATGTTACAATTTTGATGGCCTTCCTATTGCATATTGAGGCTTATCTTCCTTAGGGGTGATGGTTTGGGGAAGGTTTAATATGGTTTCTGTTCTTCTCCCACAACCAGCACCATAGGACAAGATTTCTCAGAACTTTTCTTAACTTTCCTTATGAGTTTGCTAGAGAAAAAATTTGCAAGAAGGTACAAGCTCCTTTATGTTGGTGATCATTTTTGGGATTTTGCACTCACACACTAGGTCACACTAAGCCCTCAGCATTTGTTAGAAATGTTCTAGCCTAATCTGTTTACCAGCTTATATAGTGTTTGGGAATGTCTTTCCCAGGTAAACAAGACTCTGTTCCTGTTTCTTCCTGTAAGCACATATCTCTCTCTAGATTTGTAGTCAGTCCTTTGTCTGTCAACCTGAGTGCTATGATGAGTTCAATAAAAGTCATTTTTTTCACTTCTTTTTTTTTTTTTTTTCTTTTTTGAGACAGAGTCTTACTTTGTTGCCCAGGCTGGAGTTCAGTGGTACAAACTTGGCTCACTGCACCTCCGCCTTCCAGGTTCAAGCAATTCTCTTGCCTCAGTCTTCCGAGTAGCTGGGATTACAGGCACATGCCACCATGCCCAGCTAATTTTTGTATTTTAGTAGAGACAGGGTTTCACTATGTTGGCCAGGCTGGTCTTGAACTCCTGACCTCAGGTGATCTGGTACGAACTTGGCTCATTGCACCTCCGCCTTCCAGGTTCAAGCAATTCTTTTGCCTCAGCCTCCCGAGTAGTTGGGATTACAGGCACATGCCACCATGCCCAGCTAATTTTTGTATTTTAGTAGAGACAGGGTTTCACCATGTTGGCCAGGCTGGTCTTGAACTCCTGACCTCAGGTGATCTGCCCTCCTTGGCCTCCCAAAGTGTTGGAATTACAGGCGTTAGCCACCACACCTGGCCTTTTTTTTTTTTTCCAGCTTTTATCATGTTGTAAAGTTGGAAATAACTCTCTTTCCAGCTTTCTACATCCCTGATTTAAAACTGGAAGCCTTATGTGTTTTTGAAATGCTATTTACATGCATCAAATGATTTTGAATGATTGAATCAATCCAAAAGAGTCAAGCTGTTTTTTTGATAGACTAGACTCTTTCTTTGATTTGGTAGTTCATATCCAGTTAGTCAAACAATATTGTGCATTTACTCAGAACTGGAGTATGGGGCAAATATACAATATATGGATAGAGTCTTTAGTCCCTACAGTCAATGAGTTGGGTGCTGTATGAGCTCTTTTTAATTGCCTACTTCTTTTAACTTCTTGCCTTCACCCCACTTCTTTTTATTATACACAATATTGAGAGCAGAAAATGTAGAGAAGAATACCATGAGGGTTTGGGTGGAATCAAGCTAGCCTACTACAGATTCCAAAAGGTAGTGTCAGTGATGCAGGCTGGTAAAGGAGACAAGAACCATTGCCTGGCTTATCTGGTGGAGATAGAGGCCTACCAGCATTATCAAGGATTGGTCACATTGTTAGGAAAGGATTGGAGGGCGTTGAACTGGTCAAAAGAGCAGGCAACACCCTGTCTTGACCGTGAGTACAAACCGAGATATTTTGTCTCTCCTTCTTTGGTATATTGCAAAGATTTTTGGGTTCCTCTTCACCTAAAAGTGCCAGCAAAACCCCAAGTTTCTATTTAAGTTCTGGGCTTTCTTCAGAGATCCCCACCATATCCTGGTGAAAATAGACTGTTATGGGGTGCATAGTCATGCTGATCCATTTCTGTAGTTCTTGATGGTTTCTTCTGTCAGGAGAACAACCTATCCATACCTGATTTTTACAGTGATACCAGATGAGTATATTTTCCAGATCCATTGGTCCCATATTTTTGGACCTTGGGCCAGATTCTGAGATCCAAATTCTCCTTAAACTTTAGAAGTTTCACCAGGAACTTTTTGAAAGGGTGAATTTTTTTTTAACCTTTAAGAAAGTTGGACAATGACTGCTTCAGTTGTCCTTGATCTTCTTTGTATCAACTGTTGCTAAGGAAATATATCTCACATTGATATATTTGTTTAAAATGTGGACATAAAACTAATGGTACTAAACATCTGTGTATATCCTTTTCCTTGGCTCTTGTCTTAACTGATCTTATAGACAGTAACCAGGGTCTTTCATTATGTTATTAATATAAAATTTGAACCTCAATGCAACACAGAGGCAGTTCTTTTTAGAGCTTAAGTGTCTTCTGGAGCTGATTTATGGTTTCTTTGGAGGTGTTGGTGGTAACTATCCTCACCTGCACAGTGGAATCTGGATGGTTTACTTATTGTTCATGGTAGAGTTGCTCCTATTGGTTTATTTGGTCATGGAAAGTGGATCTGAAAAGTTGAACACATAGCAGCAGAGGGTAGAATGGTACTTACCAGGGCTGCGGAGGTGGGTCAGGAGATGTTGGTTAAAAGATACAAAATTTCAGTTAGATAGGATGTATAAGTTCAAGAGATCTACTGTACAACATGAACACTACAGTTAATAACAATGTATTATATACTTGAAAATTGATAACAGAGTAGATTTTAAGTGTTCTCAAGACAAATAAATGGTAAGTATAGTGAAGTAATGCATATTTAATTGACTTAAGTTAGTCACCCACAATGTATACATATTTCAAAAACATCATGTTATACATCATAAATATATACAATTTTAATTTGTCAATTAAAATAAATAAAGAAGAAACAAATGAGATTTTTGTCTGGGGAACTAATTTGTAGGAAAAATAAAACAAAAGAAAGTACACTTGTTGTTTCTCTTTAGATCTCCATTTTACCATTCTCCAGGCACTATTTTGTGCTATTTCAGTTACATCTTGCAAGTTACAGTGCAGAACTTTGATGTCTTGCTTGATAGAAGATTCATTGCCTTTTTTGGCAAAGACTGCTAGCTGCTTACCAAATCGATGTGTTTTTCTTCTTTCAGTCACATAAGCAGAATACATTTTGTATCTTCCTTTGCAGTTAGGTGAAACCATTTGTCTGGGTTCTAGTAAGTGAAAAGTTAGTTGAAATAATCTGTGCCATTTTTGGGCCAAGGCTTTTGAGAAGCAGGCATGTATTCTTCATGCCCTCCTTCCCCTTTCTGCTGGCTAAATGCAAATAACCAGAAAGATTTAGAAGATTGTGGAGCCGCAAAGTGGAAGGCACCATTTTTCCTGAATTATCACGTGGTAGGGAGCCACGAGCTAAGAAGAAATAGACCTGCCTTAAACTGTCTGGTTATTAAGAAATAATCTACTATTTTATATGAGCCATTTGTCTTTTATTTGTTTTTCTCCCCCTACCTTCACGTATATCCTTGAGTCTTTGCTGCTTGGTTGATCATGCTCTTGTGCTTCTTCCAGCCAGAGTTTTTAGAGATGCTGCTCTAAGATAACTCTGTCCAATGTTCCAAGCACTGGGGGGAAAATACCAGACTAAAACAGCTCCATTTTTACTTGGTGGCAGGTAGCATGGGGATTTGGATTTCCTTGTTTTTGGTGCTGAATTGCTTCCACTTTTATTCAATGTACATGTCCATATTGATCTCCTTCTTCTTCTTCCTCTTCCTCTTCTTTCTTTTCTTCTTCTTCTTCTTCTTCTTCTTCTTCTTCTTCTTCTTCTTCTTCTTCTTCTTCTTCTTCTTCTTCTTCTCCTTCTTCTTCTTCTTCTTCCTTCTTCTCCTTCTCCTTCTTCTTCTTCCTTCTTCTCCTTCTCCTTCTTCTTCTTCTTCCGCTTCTTCTTTCTTCTTCTTCTTCTCTTTTTTTTTGGAGACAGAATCTTGTTCTGTCACCCAGGTTGAAGTGCAATGGCGCGATCTCAGCTCACTGCAATCTCCACCTCCCGGGTTCAAGCAATTTTCCTGCCTCAGCCTCCCGAGTAGCTGGGATTACAGGTGTCTGCCACCATGCGTGGCTGATTTTTTTGTTGTATTTTTAGTAGAGACGGGGTTTCACCGTGTTGTCCAGGCTGGTCTCAAACTCCTGACCTCTGGTATTCTACCCGTCTCAGTCTCCCAAAGTGTTGGGATTACAGGCGTGAGCCACCACACCCAGCCCATATTGATTTTTAAATTGTGTGTTTGCTCACACCTATTCCCATATTTCCTTTCAGACCATCCCAGCAAAAAAATCAAATATGGAGTACTAAACACTTCCCATACCTTTCCAGGTCATTTTTACCAGGCCTAAAAAAGAGCAACAAAATTTAAAACTCAAAAGTGGTCTTGTGGTAGTTCTTAAAAGAAGAAATTCTTAAAAGATCCAAGAAATTGATCAAAAGAAAACAACCTGAGCACTACCACGGACATTGCAGTTTCATACTTAGAGGACTGCATTGGGCAATTGTCACTCCTCATCCCCCAAATCAGGAAATTCCACAGTTCACTTGCCTTTGCTCCACAAAAGTAATCAAATAATTTTGGGAAATGCTAAATTATACATTCCCAGGTATATAAACCAGGTACTTTGGCTAGGTTCCGAGACAGACATCTTGAACCTAAAATATGCTTAACTTTAGTTAGCCCATTCCCATACTAATGTGAACAAAAGCTAAGTGTATTACAACTATTCAAGTACTTAAATTCCAGCATATCTCATAATAATATTGCCATTACTACTTGTTGTAATTCATTTGTGCTGCTATAATAGAATATCTGAGACTGGGTAATTTATAAGAAGGAAATCTATTTTCTTACAATTCTGGAGGCTGGGAAGTCCAAGATAAAAGTGCTGGCAGGTTCAGTTGCCTAGTGAGGGTTGCATCCTCCAGAGGGTAGGAATCCTGTGTCCTCACATAGCAGAAGGTGGAAGGACAAGCTAGCCAAACGCTGCATGGAGCCTGTTTTATAAGAGCCTTAATCCCATTAATGAAGGAGGAGCCCTTATGGCCTAATTACCTCCTAAAGGTCCTGCCTCTTAATACCATCACATTGGCAACACTTGACTTTTGGAGGGGACATATTTAAACTACAGCACTATTTATTTTTTGGTTTGCACTTGCCTCATGTCTCTTTTCAATTTTTCTTTTTAAATTTAAGTATATTTCTTATTAACTACGTAGAACCGATTTTGTTTTGTAGATCCAATTTGGTAGTTTTTATCTTTTAGTTGGTGATTTTGTCTATTTAGTGTAATGACCAATTTGATTTATTTTATGCCTTTCATTTTGCTTTATGTATTAATTTAACTTGTTTTCCCCCTCATTTTCTTCTATCTTATTTTCATCGATTCAGTTAAGTTGTTATTTATTCTCTTTGCTCATCATGGTTAATTTTGAAATTCTTCTGATTTTCCGTGTAATTTATGGTCACCTTCCCAGCTCTCATGTTCAGGCACATATTCTTCTACTGTTGTTTGAAAACAAGATACCATTTCATTCAGCAAGATACCATATTTTCCTTTAATTTCTCACCTCTCCAAATAGTGAAACTGTTGGGATAATTTTACTTCTGTCATCCTCCCCACAGCCCCACACCTGCAGCCCCAATCAAGTTTTAGAACATTTATGTCTTCTTCTTACTTCTTACTTAACCCAATTTCTAAGTTTCAATTAGATACTTTAGTGGGTTTTTTGGTTCTGGACTGTATTTTTTTGTTCTGTTTTCAGTTTTAAATGACATAAAAACATTCATATAACATATTTCTGTTATCTTTCAGTGTCTATGTCTATCTATCTATCATTTGACATGTATGTCATGCTCCCTTCTCCTCTTCATCGTTCATCATTATGAAGTCTGATTTTTGGCTCATTTATATTCGGTTAGTCCTTATTTATTTATTTATTTTTGACACAGAGTGACTCTGTGATTCCTCTCTGGTTTTTTTTTAGTCTAAAATGATTTTCCTTCCTGATATATGACTATTTTTTTCCATCAGTAATCTCTTTTTGACTTCTAGCATTTTGTAACTTCAGACGTTGCAAATGAGAAGTCTGATTTTTGTTTGTGTGATTAAGTGTTGTTTATTTGTAATCTCTTTTCTGTCTCAAAATGTGATTTCTGTATTTATATGTCAGTTTCAGTATTTTTAATGAACATTTCAAAACTTTTCAATTTAAAAAGGCAACAAAATGGTAAGATACCTAGCAGTAAATAAAACAATAAATATGTAAGATTGATATAAAGGAAACGACATGTTACTAAGTGGAAATGCTAAGATGCTATAACTAGAAAGGAATTTTTCAATATTACATAGACTCAGTACTGCAGGTATCAATTGTTACTAAAATAATCGATACATTTAATGGCATCCAAATGGTTTCTTGGCAACTAGACAAGCTGATGTAAAAGACATTTTTGAAGAATAAATATACATAAATAAGTCAGGGAAATTCAAAAGTAGAAAAGTCATCAGGAGATTTGTGCTTTCCTAGATATTGAAACTTATAATGCTACAATAACTAAAACTCTTAGGCATTGAAATGAGCATACACACAGAGAAATGAAACAGAACCAATGTTCAGGAATGGATAGAAATAAAACAGATATTTAATAAATGTGAAATTCCATATCCATGAGGAAAATGTGGGTTATTCAATAAGAGGTATTGGGACAATGAAATTAAACATCTTTAAAAATTATCCATGCTCTACTTACCTCCTTTCTTTCAACAAAATATATTTTAGATAGATCAAACATTTAAATGAAAAAGTTGAAGGCATTAAGTTACTAGAAGAAAATAGAGACTTAAAAAATCTCAGAGTGGGGAATGGCTTTTTAAATGTGAGATAACTTAGAAATCTAAAAAACTTGAAAAATTTGCCATAAAGTGTACATGAGAAAAGCATCATAAACATACACAAAAAATAAATAAACTCTGAAAAAATAATTGGTAAACATATATTATAGAACAAAGGCTAATGTCCTTAATATGTAAGAAATTTATCAAATTAATCCAATAGTACAAAGTGAATGGAATATGAACAAATGGCTTACGGAAAAGATAATCCAAATAGTGCTTAAAAGATTTTTAAAAAGCTTAATCTTATTCATAATGATAGAAATACTCTTAAACTTATAATAAGATACCATATATAAAGTTTTATACATCCCAGTGTTGATGAGAATGTGAGGAAATAGCCACTCTCACATATTGTTTTTGTGTGAGTCTAAATTACTGTAATTTCTATGGTAGGCATTTGGCAATTTGTTATAAATTTTAAATACACATATCTTTTGCTCTGCAATTCTACTTCTAGAAATATCTTCTACAAATATATTCATACAAATGTGACCACATGTGCAATATCCACTGTACTCTGTGTTATAATAACAACATATTGGAATCAATCTAAATATCCGTTAATAGAGAAGTAGTTAAATAAATGATAGTACATTAATACAAAGGAACATTATGTATCCATGAAATAATACCTTTTGATATGAAATGATCATACAAATAGATTACTAGGTGAAAATGGGAGACACAGAACAGAATGTATAGTATTACATATGCATGTGTCTTATATTTGCCTGTATATTGCATAAAATCTCCTTGGAATAATACTTAAAGTCATAAAAGTTGTTGCCTCCAGCCAATTACGTGGCTGAGGAATGGTGGTGAAATGATGTATTAGTTTTCCAGGGCTGCCACAACAAAGTACAACAGATATGGCTTAAACAACATATATTTATTTTCTCACAAGTTCTGGATGCTGGAAGTCCAAGATCAAGTTGTCAACAAGGTTTGGTTTCTTCTGAGGTCTCTCCTTGGCTTATAGATGGCCACCTTCTCGCTGGGTCTTCACATGGTCATTCCTCTGTGCACAGGTGTTTCTAGTATCTCTTTTGTAGGTTCAAATTTCCTCTTTTTATAAGAACACCAGTAAGATTGGATTAGGATCCACCCTAAAGCCCTCATTTCAATTTACTACCTCCAAATAGTCATGTTCTGAGGTACTGGGGGTTTGGCCTTCAACATATAAATTTTGGAAGGGACAAAATCCAGCCTGTAACAAAGAATGACTTAATTTTCACTCTATTCTCATTTGTCCTTTTTGAATTTTGTATTATACAATGTTTACTTTGTAAAAAATAAATAACTTTATTTTGTTATTTTTTATTTTTCTGAGACAGAGTTTCGCTCTTGTTGCCTAGGCTGGAGTGCAATGACATGATCTCGGCTGCCACAACCTCCACCTCCCAGGTTCAAGCGATTCTCCTGCCTCAGCCTCCCAAATAGCTGGGATTACACGCCCGGCTAATTTTTTTTTTTTTGTATTTTTATCACAGACAGGGTTTCTCCATGTTGGTCAGGCTGGTCTCAAACTCACGACCTCAGATGATCCGCCCGCCTCAGCCTCCCAAAGTGCTGGGATTACAGGCGTGAGCCACCGCATCCGGCCGTAAATAACTTTAAAAACAATCCTGTAATAAAAAAATCAGGCTGAAAATTTGTGCTGTGCACAGGTATCTCTAGTATCCCTTTTGTAGGTCCAAATTTGACTTCCTCATGGCCCAGTAGAAAAGGGATCGATACAATTTGGTGTGACAGTTAATTTGAATATGAAAATAAACTTGAATACAGGTGAGTATCACTTTAGGCAAATATATGCTTGAATTCATAAAAATATTTATTTTATTAAAGTATTTCCTACATGGATCCTTTAAACAGCTTTCAATATGATTCACTTTATAGGCATTTTCAGTATTTCACTGTGTAAGGAGAATTACACCCGAACATCTTTATTAATTTAGCGGTCTAATACTGCCAAAGTAATAGAACAAGATTTTCATGTAGAACAATTTTCATTCTTTGAAATTCTATTCTTCTTTGAGTTTCATAGGTTATACATCTGTTTAACAGTGAATTCACACTTACATATGAACAGAATTTAAAATGGAATGAGCAGAAATACTCTTAATGCAGTAGCCATAAAAAAGGCAGTTGTATTATTACTCACAGATATTGCATAGTTACCATGATAATCTAAGGACTATATGCTTCCTCTGAGGTTTTAAAAAACAGGATGAACAGCTATCTTTCTGGGTTAAGTATAGTCTTATCTCTAGACAGGAGGATGTGCAGGTAGTTCTCAAGATCATATTCAGCCTTGTGATTACTGTAGCAACAGTTATAAAAAGAACACAGAAGCTATGCCTTTTATAAGCCTTGATATATAATTTGGAATTTTGATAAAGATGGATATCAAACATGTTTCATCTACTTAAATGATTTACTTTTAAAGGTCAATATAGGACTACACTAAGTGTTAATGAAAATAGTGTATAATCAGAATATGATCCATTAACTGCTGAGTTTCCACAATAGTTCTTTAAAATCTAGAATATTCATTACTATGTGAAAAAATTAGAGAGATGTCTGTGTTACCTAGTGTGGGTGTTATGAACTAATCAGCACTTTTCACTAAAAAAAATGTGGTTAGCGATGGGGTAACTTGTTCTGAAGGAGACTGTGGCTTTTGAGTGATGACAGTCTTACAGAGATCCTTCACCAGCACATAAATACATGACCCTCTCCTCTAACTCCATTGCCTCCTCATACTCACAAGTACATTTGTGTATACCATAGTGCAAAGCTAGATTAAGTATTGTGACAGTGACATAAATTTGCACTTAACTCGATTAGCTAGAAAAGGCTGCAAGAATTTTAGACTTAAGAAGGAAATATTAAGTACAAGGAAGATCACAAATAATGATGCTTTTAGTATATGTTTATTTTAACATGGAATGTCTAGTGACAGATTCTTTTGGGGAGACTAAATATCCTTCTCCAAAGCCTGAGCAATCTTATTAAATATCAAGAACCCAACTGAAATGACAAATTTCAAGTTTCATTAAATGACACCACCACCAGCACATTATTGTAGCTATTTTACAATATGTAGCTGTTTTACTACATATTCTAACCATGCATTGACTATGTCTATTTTGGAATAAAGTCTGTCATATTAGATATAGGTCACATTTCTGGCATTCTACAAGTGAAAATAATTTATAAGGTCCAACACTTCAAAGTGGTGTGCCTGATCATTGGTGCAACACAGATGAGGTCCAAACTAACATGTCCAGGTACAACAAATACTTACATTGCTATACGGTAATTTCTGATGTGTGTCCACCACCCCAAGTAATAGGGAAGCTATATTTCTGAGTTAATATATGCCATAAATTAGGTGGTAATCATTTGTTCCTTAAAAAGTAATATTTTTCCATCTGCTGACAAACAGCTTATGAATACAAACAACAGATTTCCCAAATGCCTGTTTAAAAATTTCAGTACAGTATTTGTTGTGTCATTTTACCTCACCTATAAAGATTGTTCTCTGAAGTTTCCTGTTGCAGCAAGAAAGGCAAAACTGGAGGTACCGTCCTATCAGCGCGCGTGTGTGTGTATGTGTGTGTATATGCTAGAGAGAGAGCGAGAGAGAGAGGGAGACAGAGAGGACAAGAGACAGAGAGAACTAGTTTTCTTCTTTTTTGTGTCCATTTATCTTTAATTCTTTTCCCTGGCTTGCTTCTTAACTCCCTGGAAGCCGTGACTTCCCTTCACTTGCCTTCCTGTCTCTTGCGTCCAGCTTAGGCATTCAGCTTTCAGCCATGTACACAACCTTTGCTGGTTATTGGTCTTATATTGGGGCTTGTCTATATCCCCTTCTCTCCTACCAACATGTGAGTTGGACCTCCTTGATTGCCTGAGGACAGTTCTGACTCTAGGCATAGCCATATATCCATGGAGTCTACCATAACTCAGTCCTGATCAGCAAAAGGTGACAGTCATTTAATCCTATAAAGACTTTTGAAGGATGAAAAAATGTAAAAGTTTGAAAAATCATTAGCATACTCTCTCTGAAAAAGCAAGAAAAACATAGTCTTCCCAGGAGCCCCCATGACTGTGGGTATGGTTGGGAGAACACTGAAGGTTTGCTTTCTTGCAAGCCTTGTGGTTGATGTGATCTTCAGCACACTTTTCTCATGACAACTGGCCTGATATTGCAAATATAAAGGAGGTGGGCAAGCATATAGTTGGTGCAAACCTACTGATAATATATTTCTATTCTCTGGCCCTGTGCTCTTTACAGGCATCATCTTATCTCACCCATATAACCATCCTGGGACGTACATTTCAGGTTATTCTTGCTAATAAGGAAACAGGCTCATAGAGTTTGTGTGACATATCTAAAGTCATAGTTATTAAGTGACAGCTCATGAGTTCCAACCCAGGTCTGGGTTTGTATCCACATATCTTTTCCATTACATTAAAGCTGGTTCTGAGGATGCACAACAAAAGCTTAAACAAAACAAACAATAACAACAAAACTAACTTACAGATACTGAAAAGTGCCTAAGATATGAACAATTTAGTACTTTTTGAGGAAGACTATTCCAAAGATGCACCTGTCAAAAAGACTGTTTGATATTACACTTATTTCACTGTCTGTGAAAGCATGTTTTAGGTTTTCCTGTATTTCAAGATAACAGGCTGCTATTCAAATAATTCTTTCTTCTTGTGTCAAGTTCCGGGCAAGAAGCTACACTCAGCTGCTGCTGCATTCGTCAAAGGACTAGTGGTTACAACAACAGCGGGACTTTTTATTTTTTTGAAACTGGTCTCACCGCTTCTATCCAGTGAGGTAAAATTGGCTCACTCTTAAGGTATCAATATTCCACTGAATACTCTCAGAGCTCAGCATGCAAAGAAACACTTTGGAGTTGAATTGTCTGAGTCTGGCCTACATAAGTCTCAATGAAGTTGACTTTCTCAGTCATAACAAGAGTTTAAGAAAAATAATCCTTTGAGCTGGGCTAATTTGGTACTTTTATTCCTGAGATATTTTTATTAAGGAAGATAGTAAACTTGGACTTTTTCTCTACCCCTTATACCATCAGCTGTGTTTGAAGTAGATTTTAATGTTTTTACTGAGGGTCTACCTTCAGAGAGCAGCTTTCATCACCAGGCTGGAGTTCTCATTCAGCAGTTTTGGAGCAGTCAGGGGCGAGGCCTTCCTGCTCCCACAGTCCCATTAATAAACAGAGATCTTGCTCTGCAGCCACCGGCTACGGCTCCCAGCGCAGCCACCCATCCCAGCACAGCAGTAAATCAGCCCTGCCTGTTTTCCTAATTTTAGGTTTGGTCTGACTTAATCCATCTAATAGGAAAAACATCTGGTCTAGTTTTACTTTTAATCTGTTCTTTACATCAGGAACTTTATCGCCCTGGGACCAGTAGTAACAAGAGGTTGGTTCTTGTACCTGGGCATGACTATGCGTGGGCCAATGCCTAATAAGGGCCTGCTTTCCATTTATGCTTTCCAGTCCTTTATCTGCCTTAATTTACAATAAAGCATTGACATCACAATCAGCTTGGGGTTGTAAATTCCCCAATTAGTGAAAAGTCTATGTTGTGACACATTTTGGGACAAGGGGAGCTGGGTATATCTGTGGGCAGGTTTAAAGTTATTTTTCACTGTTAAATTTGCAAAGATCTGGGTATTTAACAGCCTTTTTTTTTAATAATAAATATTCTACAGCATAGTATTTTAGTTCAGTTTTACCTTTATATGGTTGTATGAAAGTGTACAAAGCATTATTTTAAAAGATGTATGGAAATAGCTTAGAGGAAATAATAAAATATTGTCATATGGAGTCAGTTTAGTTTTAGTTTGGATTGGGCATGCAAGATAGCATAGACTATTTAATCCTTTAGGAAAGGGCCATAAACTGACTCTACTTTAACATTTTTGACTACAGTTGGAAGTAGTTTGGGTTTTAGAAATCCTTTCAATGAAAAGAGGCCAGTCATTTGGTTTCCCAAATAGCATTCTCCACTTTTTCTCTTGACATTCATCTCCAACTATTTTTCCTCTTCCAGCTCTCCTCCTCCCTGATGCCCTCCCTTCCAGAGCCCTTTCTCTCTCTTGTTTTTGAGAGAGCTTTTGGTCTAGTCCAAACATATATTTTCTGAGTGAGGTGAGATCAATTGTTGCAAAAGTGTCTCGCTTTCCACTCAGCTTTCTACTTCTCTGAAGTGGTTAGGAAATCATGGACAACATGAGGTAACAGGAGACCTTATAGGAATTAACTTCAAATAGCCCCAGGCCTAAAAGCTCTTCCCAAATCTACAGTATGTTAGGGGACTTTAGCTCCCCAAAGTAATGTAGCTGTTTATGCACTCCTGCCTCTGAATTCCTTTTAACTGGGGCCTGAGGAGAAGTGCATAAGCAACATTACTTCAGCAAGCAAGAATTAATTATTGAAATCAATTATTGTGTCTTTCCGACGACTGCAGTCAGTCCTCAGTGAGTTGACATAAAAAAATACTTGTCTCAATGGTTGTCTCTGTGAAAAGAGATTGAAATAAATGAAAAAGAAAAGGGACTGACTTTTGACTTGGTTCCATTTCATCTCTTAGGATTTCTAAGAAATTTTACTGGTTGCGAGTTAGAGAAAGAAAATATTTTAACTCTTTAATTCCATGGATGAAAACTCGTTTCCTGCATAGTAAAATAACTTTTCTCATAATGCACAGCTTTTGGAATTTCTGACATGGGTAACTGTTAAAACTGTTTTAAAGGTGGCTCTAGACTTGCCCTTGTTGGTTCTGTCTGAAGGCTAAACCAGCATCTCTTGAAAATGCTGCCCATGTTCTTTGCCTCTTATCTTTGCCAGGAATGTCCTCTTCCATTCTCATTTTTTTATGTCGGAAATATTGAAGATTTACTTGGCAGGCACTTTCTAATGGGAAAGGTAGAAAGACACACAAATATACTATTAACAGACTTTTCAATGTACAGGAATCATGATCGTAAACATTCAAAGGGAGTATTTCGCGGGCCTTTCTGGGAACAGTCAATCACCTTATGAGTAAGAACAGTTAAATAGGAACACACTTCTATAATTTCAAGCTGGACCATCAACTTTTTAAAATTGGAGATGACACGAACTCACCACCTCTGAGAAATACTGATTTGTAAGAGCTTTTTTAATTGGAGATATTAGAAGACATATTACTTATGTCTTAGTAAATTCAGGTTGCTATAATAAAATATCATAAACTGGGTGGCTTATATACAACAGAAATTTGTTAACCATAGTCCTGGAGGCTGGGAAGTTCAAGAAGAAGATGTCAGTAGATTAAATGTTCTGTGATGGCCCATTTCTTATAGATGCACCTTCTTACTGTGCTGTCACAGTAAGGAGTGAGGGTCTCTCTGAGGTTTCACTTACAGGCCACTCATCCCATTCATAAGGACTTGGCCATGACCTAATCACCTTGCAAAGGCCCAGCCTCCTAATACCATAACATCAAGGGCTATGATTTCAACATATGAATTTTGGGAAGACACTAACATTCAGACCACAGCACGTGATTCTTAGAAAAGAAATAAAGATAGAGCCCAAGAGCAAAATATACACTTATTCCCCTATGAAAATCTGCCACTGGATGGCAGACAAAATTTGAGACCCCCAACAAGCTTGAGACCCTACAGACACCTGAAACTACAAGATAAAGGGAGTGCTTTTGTGGCAAGCATTAAGAAAAAAGGGAAAGATTTTTTCCTGAAACTAGAAAACATTCCCCTGGACCAGGAGAAGGAGAAGAGATACAGATTAGTGATGACAGTGGAGAGGGCAGTAAGCTCTTGAGAAAGGGGCGCTACAGCCTGCACAGTTGGCATGACCCCAGAGAGGGAATGGCTGAAACATGCATCTAGGCAGCCCCATAGAAATGCACAGGAAAGGCCTTGCAAGCAGGCTGCTGGTCCAAGGAGCTGGGTGGACAGGAACAAGAGACGAGTCACCCACAAACTGTGACTACCAGCCATGGCTCTCTTCCTACTCACAAGGTCTTTTCAAAATACCCCGCCCTATGCAGATCTCCTCGAACACTAACTAACCTTGAGGAAGAAGAGGGGAAGCCTCCCCAAATAGGAAGATTAAATCTTCTGCTAACTAGGCAGAATCAAGGATAAAGCTTGAAAGAGAAATGAAGTTGGCTTATGGAAAAATAAGAAAATGTCTATTTCTTATACCTGGAATTTTTGGACTGTGATTTCTACCTGTTGTAAATTCTATCCTTCATTCATATCCATTCAAATTGTCTCCAAATCTCTGCAGCTCTGGACTGTTCTATGACTTGTCTCCTTTCTGCTGTCCACAGGGTACCACTTCTTTTGCAGCTTACTATTAGTAGAGATTGTGGCACCTGAAAATTATTGCTATGTAATCTAGATTCTTAATAGAAATTCCAGGAAGCTCAGTTCTGGGAAGCATATGTGAACCGAAGGGAAATAAATATTCTTTTTTGAGGTCAAGAGGAGTCATGAGTAATTTAATATTGGCATCCCCCCTCCTCTCTAGCTCTCTCTGGAGCCAGTGACAATGATTAGGAACAGGTCTCTGTCTCTTCCCGTAGAACTTATATGGAAATGTCTGACTTCCCATTCTTTTCTCTCTAGCTGTGTAGTTACTGAGTGGACATCTCTTTTCCTGCTTTCTCTTTTATACCTCAGTTATTAGCTCATGTAGTGAAATGAATAGATTGGACAGATATTTAATAAGTTCTATGGTCTAAGGTACTGCTCAAGTCCTTGCCCTGGAAGTGATAGATATAATAATATAAAATAGTGAATAGAGCAGGATAGAGGCTGAGTGAAGGGGGAAGTTGAGTGATCAGTATGGGCTGAGTTTGGAAATAAACTTCAGCAAAGCCACTGCTGGAACTTTGGCCTTAGCGGGTGGCAAGAGGCCAGATATCAAGGCTAGAACTCACAGCAGGTTAAAATTTCTAGAGCTGGAAATATGAATTCTTATGTATGAAATTATTCCATTGATTGCCATGGTTTCATTTTATTATACTAACATTTTTCGAAAACTGCCTACTAAAACAAAAACAAAATAAAATTAATGCTAACATATTCTTTGTTACAAAAGAGCATGAGAAGTATATCTTTTTCTTGTGTTTGACAGTTCCAGCACTTGCTTGATATTTTGTTCAGATTCTTTAGAAGCAGAGCCTGAGATAAGAATTTGGGTGTATATTGTTTATTAAGTGAATAGTCATCAGAGAAAGGTAGAGGGGAATTAGGATATGGTAGGAAAAGGATCTAAACAAGGATGTTTCTGGTTTCAACCTGATTCCACAGGGAATACTGGAGCAAATACCATAGATAGAGCCTCTTATAATTAGGTAAGTACTTGGCCTTACCTAAGTATTTGAGTCAGTTATTGGCTGTAAGCTGCTCATTCCACCTTGTGTCTTGTGTGTGTGTATGTGTGTGCGCACACACATGTGTATGTAAGATTTTCCCGGTAAGGTGGCTGGGAATGTCAAGGTTAATCCTCCAACATTCATGACAACTCACACCGACCCAGTCTGTGGTCAAGGCACCAATGGCATTCAGCTTATTTGAGATTTTTCACTGTTAACATCTTTAATCACTAGCATTCCTCTACACCAACAACAATCAAGCCTAGAGCCAAATCAGGAATGAACTCCCATTCACAACTGCCGTAAAAAGAATAAATACCTAGGAATATAGCTAACTAGGGAAGTGAAAGATCTCTACACGGGGAACTAATTTTTTTTAATTCTAAATTTAAAATGTTCAATTTAAAATTAAACAAATATTTTTAACATCTCTGATAATTTTAAAGTCTTTCACATTTAATGTATGAAATATGACATTTCATATTCTAATACTTTGTTAGCTCTAACTCATTTATTCAATAAACTATTTTTCATAAGTGTTGGAGTTTGGAGTGCTGTTACACCATATGAGTATTAATACATTCTAATGTTGTGTTACCTTATAGAAAAGGATGCGAGAAATAAGGTACATATCTATAATATTTTAGGGATTCTTTCCCAATATCCATTGACTTCAAAATTATTAATAAGATATGTGCTTTCAAGAAAAGAAATTATTTTGATTTATCCAAACTTTGCTAGAGAGTAAAGTAACAATCCTAATAAATAAAGTAATAGGAAAAATATTCAGGACAAAGTAGAATTGGCATTTAGAAAATAATAGATTAGTGATAGTATTATAGTATCTGGAGCTTCCTTTTTACATTTGGAGATTAATACCGAGATTTATAAATGGCTCAGTAGCTTCAAATGTCTTATGAGGGTCATCACTGGGTACTAACCAACAGGTATGGAGAATATGCATATTGGTGAAGTGAGTGGTTGTTTATTTATTTCTTAAAAGAACAAATCAGAATCACATTCAATCTAACAGTCAGCATTAAGAAGGGAAAATATTGATTATAAGAGATTGTAAATCGTTATGAATTCCTGACTTAGTTCTCTATTCTCACTTTAATTGGCTATTTGGATTTATACAGGAAGGTACAAAGCTCTTGAGACTGAAATTTATCAGTTTTCCCTATCAATGATGACCATGTATATTAGATGTCTTTGTACATCAGATACTGTTAATAAGAATGTAAACCTTTTGTAAATTTGCAGAAGAATTTATTCCACATTGTGAGGGTTAATGCTTCCTTCCTGGCTGACTAGGAACCATTTGAAGAGTTTGAAACTTGTTATTTTCACATTGGTACTGTACATATGTCTCCAGAGTGTGGGAGCTTCATAAACAACACATTTTGATCTGAGCAGATGTACTGCATCTCTGGAGGTTAGGAAGTTCATTATTACAGACAGCCCACCTAACATCCATTTGGTAAGACTCCATTAGGTATATTAAAATACAATGCAAGATGTCTGAATGAAAAGTGTATTTGGTGAGCCGTGGGGTATTCACATGTCCTCCAGAGTAGGAAAAGTTTAGTTTCAATAGCAGCGGCCACATTCAAGTGATATATATTTGTAATATTGACTACCATGTGGGTACTACTGACAGCTTTTACTGGTTTCTAAAATAAATGTCTTCTAGCAGCATGTAATAGACATGATCTTATCCATTTTTATATTCCGGGGAGGGACTAATGTTATTGTCCTTATAGGGTAGAAAGGAAATATGGAAGCAGACAAGGGGGATACATGCTTTTCTTATATGCTTTTGATTCATCTTTTATCTACATGGTCACTTCTTTAGCAGAAGTGATCCTGTTCTTCCAGAAGAAAAAGAAAACTACTTTAGGATTAGCTGGACAGCAAATGGCATCCCTTAAAGCAAAGGACTTAGAGAGGAAATTATGAAATATATTAAATTTATCTCAAATGAAATATGACTCCTAGGATGGCGATCAATTTTTAGTTGAGAGGTAGTGAATGGAGGTTAAATCATGAATTCACACTTTCCCTTGTGATCCTCAAATCAGCACTCTTAAATTATCTTCTTTAAGCCTCAAAGTCACTTGTTGTTTTATGCTTCTTCCATGTCCCAGGTGCTAGCATATTAATGGTCTTTGCCATTTGTAGAGTAGCAAGCCGCCAGATCAATAAGCGTGCTTAGCTGCTTGCCATTAAAATTGATCTGTACTATCCTTCCGATTGACGTCATATCCAGCTGTAAATATCATCAAGTAAGCTGTCAACTCATTTTCATTATGAGTGTTTTTCATCTCAAAAGATGGACTTCAGTTGGACAGCACATTAGGATTTTTCTTCATTATTTCTGACAGTTCCCCAATAACATCTAGAGTATCTTTTTAAAGGAAAATCAGGATTGGCCAGTAACTTTTAAAATGGAGGCGGAATTAATAACAGCAGCAACAACCACAAATAAAAGACACAACAAAAAAAATCTTTGCAAGCCAGAATGTTAGAAATTAATATGAAAATCGAGAACAGCAAGATTTGGATGTTCTCTTTCACATGTGAACCAGGCCCCGGAGATCTTTGTGAGTATATGGGTTTATGTAAAGAAAATTCTAGTGTTATACTCTTGAAGACACATTTCCAATGGATTTGTCATTGGGACTTCAAAGGAGCATTTGTTTATGTGATCGTTGATCCAAACTTCCTGCTGAAGATTACAAAAGGTGGCAGGGAGGGTGGGACGGGAAGTGAGGGTTGAAAAATTGACTACTGGGTCTAATGTTCACTATTCAGGTGAACATTAAAAGCCCAGACTTCACCACTATGCAGTATATGCATGTAGAAAATCTGCACTTGTATCCCCTAAATCTATAAACATAAAAATAATAAATAAAGTGCCATGCAAATATTTTAAAAATTCTGAGAAAAATTCTGGGTCTGCAAGCCATCTTGGTGAGTGTACCTACCTGGATGTCCATCTAAGTGAAAATCCTGGAGAGGTCACACATTTTCTAATAGAATGTCACCCTAACCTCATTAGTTTGGTTTCTAAAAAATATTCTTCTGCTCTCATCCAACAGTACAGAACACCATTTCTTAGCCTTTGTCTGCCATTCAGCTCCCATTGAAAATCTGAGAAGAGAAGCCATACTTACTGTAGATGATTTAAAACCCATTCATTGCTCTAGGAATTCTAAAATGGTATAAATATAGTACCATATATGTGTATATATGTACATATATAATGTATAAATAAACAAGGATAAAAGATATAAAAATGCACACAAAAATTGGTGAGCATTTTTGGATTTTCAAGCAACATTATTATTACCTATTTGTGTTAGTTATGTTTGCCATAGAATTATCACTATTCAATTAGTTTTTACATTAGGATTCCATTTTCACATGAAAGGTCATGCAAGAAAACATTTGTATGATATTCATATCTAAATTTTTTGCAAAAATATTGAAGTTATAGTCTGCATCACTCTCTATATATTCTATGAAGCCTCTACTAAGATATATCTTTTAGAGTTCAATGTTAAACAAACTTTGCTTTTGGTGAGCAACCAGAATCTTCTTCTTTATTGATAATGAGAATTGTTTTTTACTGATTATATTTCTCTTTAGTTTTGGATACCAGGGCACTCTGAATTAAATACGAAATGACCAAATAGAAAAATAGGTTATGATAGCATATATGTTCTACATATATGCATTCTCGATTTTCTATGTTTATTACTACCACTTTATAAAATCTCCATTTAAGCTGTCTCAAATCCTTTGTGAAAAGAAACAGGATATAAGTAATTATAAACAAAGTATTGTTTGTCAAAGTATCAGTTATATTGGCATACAAACTTGTCAACTACCAATAAAAGTAGAAACCATGAATGATTCATTTCTAGCTAGTCTGTAGTCTCTTTGAGAGAAGGTAAAGAATTCATAGCACTAATAGTAAGACTTATACTTCTGTGAATGTCTACTTAGTAACAGATGCTAGAAGATTTAATATATGTTTGCTAATCTTCACTGCCACCTTGCAAATAGAGAAAGTATGTCCCATTTTTCTGAAGATCAGAGTGTTTGTGTAACTTATTTAAGGTCACCTACCTGGTAGGGGATTGAGCCACTGCTCAAATTCCCCACAGGAAGTGGAAAAATAAACTCTGTAGAATATTTATTGCAGGGTCTGGTGTGCTTTAAATTGTAGGAATGATAAGTTCTATGTTTTGTCTCTCTTTGTTTTCTTGGGTGCTAGTGGCTGGCAAACAGTAAATGCTAAAGAATATTGGATACATAATTGAAATAAGACAGAACAAATGAGCAAATGAATTTTGAGTAATATAATTAGCAGAAGTCATAATATATAATATGGTGAATAATATAAAATTAATATAATATCTAATAATTGTGAAATTATTTGCATTTATGTTAATATTTATATTATTTGTATTAGTATATTTAAAGTGATAAGTACCTATTCCTTCACAAGCATTTCATAGGTGATTCTACATAAATCATTTCACTGAATTTTCACAGAAGATCTGTGAGAGTGACATCTAGGAAAGTAGGTTCAGATACCATGAAGTAACTAGCTGAAGATGATGAGTGGTGATGTTGGGATTTGAGTCCCTATCTAACTCTAGAGATTAGGATCATATGAAACTATGTCGATAAAGAATCTTTAGTTAATTACTGCCATAATCCTAATGAGTGGGTTCTGCATTCTGTAAATTTACTCCATTAACCTCCAGCAACATGTCAACATAGTGGATAACATCTTCCTGAGATTTTTGTGTGTGTGTGTGTGTGTGTGGCAGGATCTCACTCTGTCTCCCAGGCTGGAGTGCAGTGGTGCAATCATAACTCACTGCAGCCTCAATGTCTCCAGGCTCAGATGATCCTCCCACCTCAGTCCCCCAAGTAACTGGAACTATAGGCATGTGTCACCATGCCTGGCTAATTTGTGTGTGTGTGTGTGTGTGTGTGTGTGTGTGTGTATGTGTGTGTGTGTGTGTGTGTACATATATATATATATTGTACATATATATATATATATTGTACATATATATATATATATTGTACATATATATATATATATATATATGTATGTATTTTTTTTTTTGGTAGAGACAGGGTTTCACCATGTTGTCCAGGCTGGTCTCGAACTCCTGGGCTCAAGCGATCCTTCTGCCTCAGTCCCCCAAAGTGCTGGGATTACAGGCATAAGCCGCTGTTCCTGGCTTTTCTTGAGTTTCTTTCTTCACTTGGCTTTCAGGACCCCACCTTCTCTTTGGTTTCTTCCTACCTCACTGGTCAATCCTTCTGTCTCTTTTATTGATTCTTCCTCTTTCCCCCAAGGGGTAGAATATAGGTGTGTCCCAGTGCTTAGACCTTGGTCCTCTTTACTCTCTTTCAATGCTCCCTGCCTTGGTGATCTCATCCAGTGCCATGGCATCAAAAATAATTTTACATCCAGACTATAAATTTCTATATCTAGCCCAGATCTCTTTTCTAACCTCCAGATACATAAAATCAAGAGTCTACCCTATATTTCTACTTGGATATCTATTAGGCATCTCAGACTCTAAGTATCTAAATCTTAATAGCATTATCTTTCTTCCTAAACTTGCTCTCAGTTTTCCCCATCAGTTGAAGGCAATACCATCCTCCCAAGTACTGAGGCCAAAACCCTTGGTATCATCCTTGGTTGTCTCTCTCTCTTCCTCCCTCTTTCATATTCAATATCCACTATATTAGCAAATCCTGTTGGCTCTACCATATAAATATAACTAGAATTGGATCACTAGATGAATTATTATTGCCTTTGCTACTACCCAGGCTTGAGCCTCCATCATTTTTCTTTTGGATTATCACAGTACCCTTCTAATTGGTCTTTCTGCTTCTACCCTTTTCCCTTATGATCAGTAGAGTAACCATGGCAATCCTTTTGAGACATAAGTAACATCATGTAATAATATAACACCACATCAATTTTCTATTCAAAAACATTTAATCATTCTCAATTTCACTCAAGGAAAAGTCAGTCTTGACAGTGGTCTACAAGGCTCCACATATCCTGGCTGTTCGTTTCCTCAGCCTCTTTGCTGGTCCTTGAATATGCAAGTCGGGTGTCCATTTTAAGGCTTTTCTCCATCTCTTCTCTCTGGAATAAGAACATTCTAAATGTGACATTCTCCATGAGGCCTACCCTGACTGCCCTATTTAATATTGTACCTTTTCTCCTAATCCCCATAGTCTGATTTCCTTTTCCTTTTTATTTCCACAGAATTTATTTCTAATATGAAACATTACTTATTATTTTTACTTTTATTTTTTGTTTTCTGTGTCAGCCAACTAGAATATAAATTCTACAAGGTCAGAAATATTTGTCTATTTTGTTTATCAACATATCCCAGGCTTCCAGAATAGCGCACAAGTCATAGTATGTGCACAATAAGTAGTCGTTAAATTAAGAAACTTAATTCAAATGTAAGAATTTCTAGTGTCTTTTTGTGGCTACTATAGGCTTAGTGTGAACTGTTATAGGACAGATTGCAGCTGACTTTGTGTGAGTAGAGGCAGGTACTCTATCTAGGCAGGGCCATATCATAGTCTGCCTTAAAGGTTAAGTCAGAGAAGTCTGTGCTGTAATGCACCATACTCATTTGACCAAATAGTCCCTAAAAGTGTGAAGTGCACATACAAGCATGCCCTCTTCTCACCACCTCAAATTTCGGCACTCTGTTAATTAATTCTCTAACAAAGACCTAATAAAGTGTAGCACTGCTTATTACAATTGGTTTCAACTTACGTTTTAGCAGAGGCAACAGTCTGTTTACAGACAAAATACGGCCAGGGTAAACAGGACTTTTCTTTTTAGCACTCATTTTCAATGCCTTGCTTCTGGAAAAGCATTGTGAAAAGTGAGGACTATCTGGAACATGTATTTGTTAGAAAGCAGAGTCTCATGCACATATGACTTTAATTTTCACTTTGTGATATTTTATCTCAATCCTAATAATTGACACATCATCTTTCTTTGTCCATTGTCTCCTAATGATTTTCTCTTTTTTATAGACATAGGAATATTAAAGATATTTTCAGTAAAAACATCACCCCATAGCAGAAATATATGTTTTTATCAGATTTTCCCACCTATATCTTTATTTTTCATAGTTGAATTTGTAAAGTTTAATTTTTTTTCCAAACATAACCTTTTCTTGTTAGTCAACTATCCATTTTGCTCAGTTTGGAAGCATTGAGTTTCATAAACAATGGATTCCAGTAACTAGAGAGAAACCCATAAAAAAAGCAGGGCACAACTCTCTCTATATAACAGAACTTTACTTCAATTTAATGTATTCATTTCCTTTCAAGCATTTGAGAGTGTTTCCTCTTTAGCTATGAACAGAAAATAAAGTGACTAATTTGTGATGAGTGTTAAGAGTGTTAAATACTACAAATCATCTTTCCAGGTCTGTAGCATAAACTGGCAAAATCTTAGCATTTTTTTGGAATTTTATATACTATTTTAAGGAAAATGTTTGAATTTAATTCATGGCTTTTATTGTTATTACCTTGCTTTCTGAAAAACAACACGTACTCTCTTTTAATGAGTTGCTTAATTTTCTCCCGTCTTGATTAACAATTTAGATTGCCTTGGGTTTTCAATCTGTTTTGTGAGTTTAATTTCCCCTTCCCAAGTTCTATATTCATTTTCCTAGGTTGATTTGATTCATTTTCAATTAATTAATTTACAATTAATTAATTAATCCCCCCTTGACAACTGCCTTAGTGGCATCACAACTCATATTAATGGTGTAGTGCCTGTTCTAATTAAAATCAATATGTAGTTCCTAATGACACAGCCTTATCTACTAGAAATAGTGAAACACTAGATAGAATACAATCTCTTTTTAGACCAAGGTCCATATGACCATTTGATAGTACAATTGCAATAAAAATACTTATTTTGTATTTTATAATATGACTAAGATTCTTTATATACTAGTTACTATACATCCTAGTAACCAACACATTGATTAGAAATTAAAATGACATCATTCTTTTAATCAGATAAGTCATTCTCTCTCCACATGTGTTATCCACTTTAGATTTCAGGGATATATAATACATTTATTCAAATGTTGTCTAATTTGTTAGACTTCACCATGATATAAATTCTAAATTTGTTGCAATTATTGGTAAATTTGTAGAGTAAGTGTTTCATCTTAACAGACTTTTTACTTCCATTTGTAAATTTGACACTGACTTGAAATAACATATTAGGAGAAGATAATATTACTTTTGTATTTATCCCTACTGGAGCAGCACTGATAAAATTTTATAGTGGTCTGATATAAGCACTAAGTTACAATCCCCTCCCAGTTAACAAACTCTCCATTTATTATAGTATGTTATGGCAGAGAAAGTAGAGAGTTAATGTGATACTAGTCGAAACTTGGCATGCGATTTTGTATAGTGTGGCTTTGTCCAAATAAAAGTGGTGGATATAATTCTAAAAAGATGTTTAGGATCATATGCATTAAGCTGAAGAGAAGCTATGACTTCTTGAGACAACTGAAAAGTCTAAAAAGTGCTCTCAGTGGCCCTGTTTTCTGAAAACCTGTTTGTTTGTTTCTCTGACCTACTTTCTTTGGTCAGCCTTATTTCTTCTTTTTATCTTTGACTATGCATCAAAATAAAACAATCAATATTAATATTAAATCAGTCCTTAATCTATGCAAAGCTCTGTGTCGAAAGGCGTGTAAAATCTGAAGAAGTCCCTGCTCTGAAGGAGCTAACACCTCTGTTTACTTCCCATTGTCTATTTCTCCCTTCTAACCAGAGATCAATGGTCAATTTTGATCTTTATTTTTAAAGTACCCTACTTTTCTTGCTTTTATTTCATTTGGATCCTTTCATTTAGCCTTCTTTTTCAATTTTTTTTCTTATTACGTCTGTATTAACTCTTGCCACAATATTTTGCTCCCAAATTTAGAAGGTTATTTTAAACAATTTAAGTGCTTTAGTTTATTCTCTTTAATGAACTGTTGAGCAACATAACCCTCGTCTCATATATAGAGTAGTTAAGTTATCTCTTATGTGGAATAGTGAAATCTTACTTCAATACAAAAGCAAAACAAACAAACACTAATTCTGTAATGCCTCTATGAGACGCAATTCAAATTATTTATCCCTTGAGAACCACTGGTTATACAATATAGAGAAAAGCACCTTTCAAGAGAATAACCTACCATAGGCATTTCTCCTTATCAATGGGCAATATTAATCTTCATTGAAGCCTACATGGAGGGTAATTCTCCTAGTAAATCTGATGACTAGGGTAGTTTGTACATTCAATTACATGTACTAAAATAGCAAATCAACTTTTTAGGTTTAGAAGACTCTTGGGCTTTCTTTTTTTAATCAGACTATTGATTATCTTGCCCAATTGCTGCTACCACCAAACACAGTCATACAACTCTGGCATATACTATTTATTATCAAAACTAGCCACTAACATTGATGTTTCCCTGTATACTCTGAAACACTCTGCGATCTATTTTCAGGTGCCAAGAGTGGTCATAGAGATCACTGATCTGGCATTATCCTATATGATAAAAGCAATATTCATAAGCTAATGTGACCATTCCTTTGTCTTCTTCATTGTTTTTACTTAGTTCCGTCAATAATAATGTTTTACATTTTAGAGACTTAAAAATGGATGGACAGAGTAAATAATTCAAGAAACATAAAATTGTATATTGTATTGAGTTGTACATGAGGTGCCTCCCACCCTTAGTTCTTCTTCCCAAAGGCAACCACAACCAGTGTTCTTAGTTTCTTATACACCCTTCCATATTCATAACATAGACTTTTATATATCTACATTTACATCTGTATCTATCACTATCTTTTTTCAGAAATACATATAGTCACAGATTTTATATATTACGTTATTACTAAATGAATTTTGTACACTAAAAAAAGTATTTGTTGAAGAATTTCAACTAATTTATGTGTATATTCCTTCCTCAAGAATGTAGAACATAAACTCCCCACTGTAAGTGTGGGCTGCTCATAGGGACTCTGTTCTAAAGAGGACAGTATGGAAAAGCATCTCACTTACACCTGAATGTAGTATAGAGTTTTATGTTTCATGAGTAAATATATTTACTCTCTCCATCTATTTTTAAGTCTTAAAATATAAAACATTTTTACTTATGGGACCAGGGAAAAACAGCTTAAAAAAGGAAGATTTATATTGGCTTATGTGTATTGTTTTTATGATATACGACAGTAACTATACAGTAGAGAAAACTGAGACATACTACTTCAGGCAGGTGATCAAGTGTGATGAGTCCTGTTGATGAGTCATCAGTGATCACATTTATAGCTTATATCCTTGATATCGTGTGATGAAAATAGCAATTTACCTCTGTGCTCTTCCTCCCCAAATCTCTCCAAACCCTTGTCTAGCTGTGAGAAAAACATCAGACAAACCTAAATTAAAGGACATTGTACAGAATGTTTGACCTGCACCCCTCAAAATGCCAAGGTTATCAAAACACAAGAGAAGTTGGGGAAACTGTGACAATCTAGAGGAGCCTAAGAAGGCTTTATAACTAAATGTAAGGTGGTGTCCTGGATGGGATTCTAGAGCCATAAGAGAACATTTGGAAAAAGCAAGGATGTCTAAATGAAGAATAGACTTTAGTTATTAATAATGTATTACTATTCATATTAGTTGTGCCAAAGTTCTATAATAATTTGGGTATGAAGTATATGGAAGCTCTATAACATGCTTGCTTTTTTCTGTAGTTCCAAATTATTCTAAGATAAAGTTTATTAGATGTTTTTAAAAAGTACCCTTTGTGTATGACTGCATACGGGACAGAATAATTTGACCTCAAATCAACGATACAAAATAGCTTACAATAAGCTGCAAGTGTGGGATGTGTAACTGTTGAACTAACATCGCCTAACATGTCCAGGGTGAGGGAGAAGAGGTTTCTGAACAGAAGTGCAGAGTTTATCATGCTGATCAGATAGGTACAGAGGTGGCCCTGGAAACCAGACCTGCCCAAGGAACTTGCAGAAGTGGGAGGATGCATAGCGTGGCAGGTGGAAAATAGTATCCAGAGAGAGGAAGAGGATCAGGGTTGGGGAGACTCAGCAAGAAATAACTTAGAAGTTTTTTAAGTGAGTAGCAGACGACATAGAAGCAATAGAAATGTCAACCTGTGGACCATTTTCCAGGACTACCTGTTTTCATATTTCTGTGCCCTTATAAATGCTGCTCCTTCTACCTGGAACACACTTCTTTTCCCTTTTCATGAACTCTCTTTCTCTCTTTACAATTCAGTTCTGATATTACCTCTTTGGGGAATGGTTCCTAAATCTCCCAGTTGAGCTAGGTGCCCCTCCAATGCCTCTCTATGATCCTCTGAACTTCCTATCTATTAGAGCAACAGCTCTGTTGATCTGAACTATCTGTTCGGGTCTGTTTATCTGTGTGTCTTCTAAACTAATTTGTGAATTCCTTGCTGGCATAGACTCCGCCTTTTTTTGTTTGAAGCTCTGTATGCTCCATGTGTGGTACAATGTGCAGTTACAGTAAACACTCTTTGTGCTTGTAGAATAGAGAGGCCGGAAAAAATGACACAGGGAACCCATCTTGGAGCCATTCAAGCATATGACAGGTTTTCAACAGAGAAGGACCTAGACTCTAATATTTTCTGATTCAGTACAGACACCATGGGCCATGAGGCAATTCTCAATTAACATCTTGCATTATTCAGATCCTAAAGCTTGATCTACACACAATCTGCAAACACACAACCAAAAGCAGATCTTAGGAAACTGTAAGAAACTAGTGACACAAAGATGAAAAATTGTAGGAAAATAAGACTTTAGGAAAACTGTATGGAGATTCCTCAAGGAATTAAAAATAGAACTGCCATTCAATGCAGGACTCCAACTACTTGGTATCTATCTACCCGAAGGAAAAGAAATCATTTTATCAAAAAGACACCCGTACTCATATACTCACATGTTTATCACAGCACTGTTCACAATAGCAAAGTCATGGAATCAGCCTGTGTTCCTCAACAGTGGGTTGGATAAAGAGAATGTGGTGTGTGTGTGTGTGTGTGTGTGTGTGTGTATCTACATACACCACGGAATACTACATGTCCATAAAAAGAATGAAATTATGTCATTAGCAGCTACATGGATACAGCTGGAGGCCATTATCCTAAGTGAAATAACTCAGAAACAGAAAATCAAATACTGCACATTCTTACTTATAAGCGGGAGCCAAACACTGACTATACATGGACATAAAGATGGAGACAACAGACAGTAGGGGAGGGCTACTCCAGAAGTGGGGAGGGCAAGAGGGTGGGAAAACTACCTACTGAGTTCTATGTTCACTATGTGGGTGATGGGCTCTCTAGAAGCTCAAGCCCTAGCATTATGCATTATACCCATGTAACAAACCTGCACATATACCCCTTCCCTTGAATCTATAATTTATAAAAGACTTCAGAAGAAAAGATAAAGAAGTTGGTACTTTGTTTCTTTAGAAGTCTAGAGGAGAGGACAATTTTATAAAAATCTAGGCTAGGCAAGGAATTTCCATCTGCCCTGAAAACAGAAGAGACAATGAACTCAAGCTTGTCTACATGGAAAAATTATCCATCAGTTACAACTGCTTATCTTTAGGATACATTTAGGGAAGTGGTCATACAACTAAATTCACGATAGATTTTTATCTACTGGGGTTAGATCCGTATGCTTAATCCTGTATGAAGTTAAGTCAGGGAGCTAAATGACTGCTGCAAACTGCTTTGTCCAGCCCTAAGATTCAATGATTCCATTGGTGAGAGTCCATTCCTACTTAAAACATCCATCCTGGAGATGTGTGATTCTGAAAGTAAACTTTAAGATAAAGCATTACAGTTTGGATCTTCCCAAATGATCTCCTCTAAGTTGTTCTACACGCTTGAGCCTCTGATGGTCATGAATCACTGCTAATCTCTTAGAAACATATTTCTCCAGATAACATCAGTTCCTCTCAGAATACAAAGAGGAGAGGATTGCATTTCTTTTATGCTTCTGCTGAGAAAAAATGTAGACATTTCCTTGAGACAGAAGAAGTTAAGATCACTTGGGGTTGATACCTGGCTCATAAACAGGCAGTTCTTTGTGTATAAACCCAACTGACCCAAAGCAGCATATGGCTTGTTCCTTGTAGTAATTGTGTGTTAAGACAAAACTTCCCATATTTTTCCTTTACTCACATTTGCTAGTCACCACTAAACTGAACAAAATCTATCTCCTTTGACAGAGTGGTAACTTATTCTTTGATGATAGTTTATAGTAATCTCTGAAAATATGATACATAATAATGCTAATACTATGAGAATATTTATCCTGGGTGTTATTTAACTAGTTATGAAAGCACTTGAAGTTTTACAACAGCCAAATAAATTCTGTTATTATGCCATTTCAAGGACTGTGAAGTCCGTTCTAAGTAACAGCAGAAGGGGAGCCCCCCCTTCGTTTTTCCTGTTTATTTCTGCATTTAGATCTCTTGAAGAAAAAGCAATTCAGACAACCTAAAAACAAAAGGCAAGATGAGCACATTCTCGTTTCCTTTTGACCTTGTAGTTCTGATATGCAAGTAGCAAATTGTCACTTGAAAAATAAACCCTCACAACTACCAACCCCCAACCTTTTATAAGGAAAAAAAAAAAAAGCCCGAGGCAAACATACTCAACTATTCTAGGAAAAATTTAAAATATGTATGCAGCCATAGGGAATTCCAGTATTTGAGAGGAAATACACAGTTCCAACTGCAAGCTGCTGTTAGGGTTACTGTGCTCTGACCACTTAGGCTGAAAATGAAAGAGGCATTAATTAAGTAATAACGATCAAGGTATGGGGCATTTCCTGGGGATTAATGACCAGCTGGGGGAGTTGATAGCCCACAGTGCAGCCAAGGGCCATTAACCCCAGCTGGTCATCAATTCCTGGGCCCTGTGTTATAGTCATTATTGCTATCATAAGCCAAAAAATGAAAAGCAAATGGGTCTATGGATTACTTTTATGGATGATGCAGTTTCAATTGGTATCTACAGGGCATTCCTGGAGAATGGATGCTCCATCCCTGAGCCAATCAGGTGCTTCGACATTCCATTCTACTTAGGCTGCTGCCTGGGAGGAATGGAGGGTGAATGAGGTAGGCAGCCAACGGTTGAAGAGTTTCAGGTCTCTGTTGACACTTGAGGGCTATCGAAACCATAAAGATCACATGGAGGAAGATTTGGGGAAAGAAAAGAGAATGTGCTATATAGTTAGGTGGGTGTGTTTTCCTGTGGATGCCCCAGTTTAGTGCCTTTTACTGTGAAGTGGAGAAAAATCACTGGATGGTAATGAGCCTCCTAGAAGACAGAAAGTGCCAATTTGCAGGAGGAGAGAGGGAGATGAAAGGACAGTGTACTCTATTGAAAAAAAAAACAGACATTAAAAATAAGGAATACTGAGGGACTGTCAGCCTACAGTGATCAGGTTGGACAGTTAGAAATTAATTATATTTAGTTTAAGAAGCTGCTTCTGCAGCCTTGGTCAATTTTAAAAAGCACATTAGAAGATATCTCAAACTGACTTTCCAATTACCATGGATGACAGCAAAGTGCGTAGAAACAAAACTCATTTTAAATGGGTAAATGCATTCAATGCTGACTGACAATACTTTCAAAATTCATAAATTTCGTCCCTGGTCAAGCTACGATGAAGGAGATTCTGAGGAGAGTTGACCTCTGCTAAAGAAGAACAATATTAATGGGAGCCCTCCCCCGTCAAATTAATAATCTCAAATGCAGTGGGACAGTGAATATCTATGCACACGTTGGAGGATGCTGGGAGCAAAGAAATATTAAATTGAAAAATGATTTTGTACCAGAATTTTAATTGTAGAAAAAAATGGATAGAAAACAATATCCAAATCCAGCTTTTCCTAGTACTTCACAGTGACTTAGAGATGAGTTTTCTAACAGAGAGTTGGAAAAAGTGAAGAAATTGAGCTTCAGGTAGTTATTTCCTACTATAAACAAACCTTTGAAATCAGACTTTTTTGGTGGAGAGAAGCTATTTGTAAAACAAAACAAAGTACACTGTGTGTTTGTGTGTATACACACTCTCACAGAGTTAAAGCTGAGTTCAAGACACACTAATCAAAGTCAATGACAAAATAATAAATAGAACCTTAGTGTTTCTGTGGCTCAAGGGTAAATGTTAAAGCATATTTTATTAAATAAAAATGGCATCACTGGCATAAGTTTTTTCTGGTTGTGTTTTTATTACCACCATTTAAAAAAATCTGTGATGGGAAAATATTTAAGGGAAGGAAGGTGATTCATTTTGTCGATGGACATTGTCTTAGTTTATTGACTCTTGCTATAAAGGAATGCCCAAGGTTGGGTAATTTATAAAGAAAGAGATTTATTTGGCTTACAGTTTTGCAGACTGTACAAGAAGCATGGCACAAACATCTGTATCTGGCGAGGGCTTCAGGGTGCTTCCACTCTTGGTGGAAAGTGAAGCAGAGCCCGCAGCTGCACAGATCATATGGCAAGAGAAGAAGCAAGAGAGAGAGGGGAGGCGCCAGGGTCCTTATAACAACCAGCTCTAGGGCAACCTCTTGCAGGAACTAATAGATTAAGAACTTACCAACCTTCCCTCCTCCAGGGAGGCATCAATCTATTCATGAGAGATCTGCATCCATGACCAAAACACTTTCACCTCTAACACCGATGATCCAATTTCAACATGAGATTTGGAGGGTCAAACAAACCAAACTCTAGCAGACATCGTTTTAAACTCAGAGCATACGGTATAATCTGGATTCAGTTATGTTTCTCTGACTCCTCATTATGCAGGCAAGAATCAGCCTATGGGTGGCAATCCCTGAATGTTTCAACTTCTCCTCAATTCCTCTGGTATTATTCTTAAATGTTTCCTGATCATTAAGATGGATAAGAGAAATTTAAAAAGTAATATGTTTGCATTCTCCACCTACGATCCAGTAGTATGAGAGATGTAAGCAAAACAAATCATGTTGAGTTAATTATTTTTAACTTCATCTTTCATCACTTCCAAAACCTTGTCCGCTCTCAGGGTTTCAGATACACATCCAAGTGGATGACTTCCAAATCTCCATTTTCAGCTCTGATCTCTCACCCAAACTTTCATCTTGAATTTACAATAGGCTTTGAGACCTTTATAACTTATGGTCCTGCCAACTCCTGATATTCAATAGCCCCCAAGCAAGAATCAACACATTTCCACTCATCTCTCTCCTTTTTTCAAAAATCACACTCTGTTTCTGGAATCACATTTTCTGCATTAACTCAGGCTAAAGACCTTGAAATGATCTTTGATTCTGCCTTTACATCAAACTCCATACATAACTGGAGTGTCACTGGGTTCTAACATGCTTTCATGTGCAGAGCATGGCACATTTTTCTTTAAGCTCCTTTCTTCATCTTATCCTCACCATCTCCATTGTCACCAGATGAGTGGAATGATGTAAACATGAGGGAGCTGGCTGAGGTGTCCTCTTCAACATTTCAATCAACAACTTAGACAAAACGTAAGAGTCACTATCAAATAGAAGTTAGAGAAAAGAAGTCTGAAAAGAGTAATAAATAATTTGCTTGATAGAATCAGGAACCACAAAACACAGACTCCCCATACCCTTGCTTTGTAACCTGTTGATGGTTCTCCATTGCCTTCAGCCTAGAGTCCATGTTTCTCAGCCCGGAGCAGCAGTCTTTGTTTCTCGCCATTATGTTCCATGCACTCTGTGCTGTCCAACAATTTCTTCATGTGTCCTGCCTTTTCACAGCTTAAAACTTTCCTCAAGGGGCTCCATCACCTGGAAATAACCTCCTCCTCCATGTCTTCTTGATTCCAAAAAAATTACTACCCATCTTTCAAGGCCTAGCTTGAATGACATATTCTCTCTGTAGCGTTCCTCAATGCCCCCGATCCTCCAACCAGTGTAAAAATATGTCTTCCTCTTTGTTCCAAAGGCATTTTTTCATAAACATTCCATCAGAGTGTATATCATTTTGTGGTTTCTTTTATTTCTTTGTGTCCTTGAAGTTTGTGTGAGCTGTCTGATGGCAGGGTACTTTATCTGTAAATTCTTAGCACCCAGAGGGAGGAGGTGCACCCAATGGGTGCATCTTAACTCCAAGGTTTGTTGCATTTTGTTAATTGGAGTAAGGGGCCAGCCCTAACTAGGTGAAACTGAACATAAAAAATATTTTGTGTTCAATGATTCAAGCATAGAGTAGGCTATGTAGCTTACCAGCCATATAAATAAAGGTGATCTGGATGGTTTAGTTCAAAGTAACCACTCTGAAGTAATATAATTTTAGGTGGCACAAATAGGAGCAAATAAGGTATGTAACATATGGAATGTGATAATTCTGTGTCCTTCTGCACTAGTTTGGAAATACTTGCAATATTGTATCCTATAAAATGTTGAGAACCGCATTTTAGAAGGAATCCACACAGAATGGAACGTTACATTTTTTTCAGAGCTGAACTACAAGCATGGTGAGAGAACCTTAAAAGAAAGCCCTATGAGGCTGGGCGCGGTGGCTCACACCTATAATCCCAGCACTTTGGGAGGCCGAGGCGGGTGGATCACGAGGTCAGGAGATCAAGACCATCCTGGCTACGGTGAAACCCTGTCTCTACTAAAAAAAAAACACAAAAAATTAGCCGGGAATCGTGGAGAGTGCCTCTAGTCGCCGCTACTTGGGAGGCTGAGGCAGGAGAATGGCGTGAACCCGGGAGGCAGAGCTTGCAGTGAGCCGAGATCGCGTCACTGCACTCCAGCCTGGGCAACAGAGCGAGACTCCATCTCAAAAAAAAAAAAAAAAAAAGAAAAAAAAAAAAAGAAAAGAAAGCCCTAGGAGGGCATTCAGAGGTAGACAAGAACACTGAGTTTGATGATATCGTTCTGAGTGTCCTCTTGAAACATGTGCTTTTTTTTTTTTTTTTAATTCCCTCACTATCCTTGTATTGTAGTTCACCTTTGAAAACATGTTCCATTCCATCTGGTTTTATTTTAAAATGTGGTTCGCACATTTTATAGGATACAATATTATAGGTATTTTCACACCAGTGCAGGGGAACATAGGACTATCCCCTCCGTTATTCGACACATCTTATTGACTCCTATTGATGACGCCTAAAATCGGATTCCCTTGAAATTTCTAAGATCTGAGTGGAATTAGCTTAGTTCTAAATGGCTTCAAGGATGAAATTAGCAAGGACATGTGTGAGCTTCAAGGAAGCAGATTTTGCTTTCATAGAAGAATAGTTTCTGATCATCAAAGTAGTACGTAGGCGGCATGGTTCACCTCAAGAGGCAGTGACACTTGGGGTATTCAAGCATAGGTTGGACATATACTTGTCAGGAATAGTTTAGATTGGAGCAGTTAAATATTCTCATAGAGGTATTTTTTTTGTTTGATTGACCCATTGATTACCATCAAGAATTAAAGAAAAAGCTTATTTATGTTTTATTATTTTATTGTCCTATAATTATTTGCTGCACATATTTATGTTTTTACCTGCCTGGACTTTGAAGACCTTTGATTTGCAAACTCTGGTTTGGAATATCTAATTGCAAGGCTTAAAACTTCACTTCCTCAAATTCTCCTCTCTATCTGCACAGTCTGGTGTCTTAAGATCTATTGTAGTTTTCCAGACCTGTGACATCTCTTCTCCCATTCTGTGCCTTTAAAGTGATGTCATAAGGCCTATATTCTACAGGAACTCACCCTTATTTTGAGTCCCAAACCATTAGAGAATATTGTCCAAGGGGGGTCACCAATAAACAGCACTTTTCTCTCCCAGTGTGGAACTAAAGAATTTGAGGAATAAGACAAAGAAGAAAGACTACGTTGAAAGAACTGGCTTAGTATCAAAATAAATTGTGCTTTGTAACTGGTGCTCCAAATCAGACAGGATTATTTACTTTATCTTAAGCAGTAAGACTTAGGGCATGTAGGTGCAGAGAACTTGAGCTTTCTTTAGTTATGAGTGCTCATAAGGAGAACAGAACAGAACTACACATGCCCAGTTACTTTTTCCAAACTAAACTCTACCTTCCCAGGGGCAGAGTAAAGACTGGGGTTACTTTGTTTTTGGAATTTTTATCATAAAAAGGAAACATGAAGAATGGGGCAAATATTTCCCATTAATTAATTTTTCTTATGATATGTGTAGGCCTAGTTTCTCCCTCTTAATAGAAAGATGTTTGAAAGCAGGCACTTACTGTATTTTTTCTTTGTATAACCTAATTTACTCAGCACTTAGTATAATAATAAATACTAAATGCCATCACACACTATAAAAAACCACAAATGAGAAATCTGGAGACTTGAGTTATAGTTGTGGCTCTGTCATTGTGAAATCCTCATATCTTCAGACCTCAGTTTGTCATCTGTGTAATGGGGGAACTGGAAGAGACTCCCAAGAAATAGTTGTAGGCCTGACCTACAAATATAGTTGAAATAGAATACGTGAATAGATTACAGGAATCTATTCTGATGTTAAAGTGGAATCAAGTATAGTTTATCACTGATCTTGCATAACTGATTGCCACAATTGTATTTAATATAAGTGAAAGAGACTGATTATCTACATAAGCATATTATAATGACATAAATATCTTTCCTGCACAGTTAGTTCTCATGCACAGGTGCCCAGAGCTGCTTCCCAGTCTTCCTTTTCCTGGACAGGGTCATATATTCCATAATTATCTTTTTATATCCTATTTTGTCTTTAAAATATTAATGTCCTGATCTTGGCAAATTGTGCTAGAGAAGAAGGACCTGGTAACCTAATTTCACACAAAGGTGAGAGGTTCATATTAAGGTATTCATTTACAGCAGCATCTTAGGAAAGTGTTACACACTAGGTGGGGAGATATTTTTGACATGGAGTCTTTTTTCCAGCATCTCTCATGCCATATTACATAGGCATCTGTTCAGTCTATGCACACCCATAAAGCCGACTCAGCCTGTGTTTGAGAGGGATGATGATTGTGCATGTGCATGTTTGTATCATGCACCATAAAGGCAGGCTGACAGGGAGGTCCACAGCTAGCTGCTCCACATGCAGCTGGATTATCCTGTGAAATATCTTGAAGTATATAAATCCGCTTGGATTCCCAAGAGGTGGACTAGATAACTTAGTAGGTATTTTTGTCTGTCTCTATTTCCTGAGATCTTTTCTACAAAAAACATTTTTGGGTCTCACATGTTGGAACAATTATCCAAGAATATTTCATCCCTGAGAAAAATATAACCCTTGAGTTGCTGCCAAAGTCAGTGAGATCTATGGCAGCTTGCCTTCTGCACACAGACCTTGCACATTAACACTTTAGGGACTCCAGCCGAGAGCACGTTTCACTGTCTCCTACAGCTCACTGATGAATGAGGGAGATTGACTAGGACCTCTAGGAAGCTGACCTAGGGCACCTGAGGAAATTTTTGTCATAAAGTATGTACTAAATGGCCCTTCTATTTTTAGAGTTGCCATTCACATGCTGTAAACATTATTTCTTTTCACTTAACTGACAACTTGAATAAAACATTTGAAAGGCATTTTTCAAAGACAAAGAATATTGTAACACAGACTACCCTCTCATTTCCTACCCATTTCCTCCACTTCCTGGACACAAAGCCAAACTCCATTTCCCAGCCTCCTTTGCAGCTAGATGAGGCTGTGAAACTGAGTTCTAGCCAATGGAATGTGATCAGAAATGACATAGCCCACTTCTGGGCTTCATCTATAAAATCTTCTCCACTTATTACCCTTCGTGTTATTTTCCCCTTCCAGTTACCTGGGAGGGAGTCAACTCGCAGGGGAATAGTGGGAGTCACATGTTCAAGATAGTGGAGCATCTGATTAATCTCTTCAAGGAGATCTATCCAACTAGAAACTCCCATATTGGACTGTTACGAGAACAAGAAAAAAGCTTTTGCAATGTTAAGCCACTGAACTAGGGAGGTTTAACTATTGAAATTGTTAGCATTGCCTTAACTATACCATTATGACTACATTAATTTTCTTTAAAGCCATTGTTTACACTAAATGTTTTTTAATTAGAACAACATGCTATTATGGCAGGTCAAATTATGTCTGATGGGAAATTACAGTTTTTGATTTGGGTTTTTTTTTTTTCTTCTACAGCTGGTTCATAATATCTCAACATTTTCTGATTCTGCCTCACCTCATCTAAGCTACTACTGATGCCCATTTGCTGTCTCCTTTTATTCTTTCCTCCTTTGTTTCCTCCTTTTAAAACACATTCTACTCCCTTTTAAAATTTGACACATTAACTCATTTAAGTAGTATTTGCTGTGTTCCTATTATATGTCAGACATTTGCTCGGTACTGAGTTGATAGTGGTAAATGAAACAGCCTTGGCTCTGAGCTCCTCTCAGGTTTTGGTCTGGTGTGGGAGACAGATGATAAACAAGAAAACAGCAAGGAAAAAAACACAGATTTATAGTAGGAGATCATGATGACTACTAGGAATGAAATGAATAGGGTCCTGGAATGGACAATAATAACAATGGACTACAGAGAACCCCTCTTACAAATCTTATCATAGCAGGTTGTGAGAGGGTGATGTTTCCATTGTGAACCAAGAAAAGAAGAAAACTCAACCATGGAAAGGATAGGGGAAGAGCATTCCAGGTTGTGCAGTAACACTGAGGCAGGAAACTATTTTGCAGGTTTGAAGAATTGGAAGGAGACCACTGTGACTACAGCTCTATGGATGATGAAGAGAACTGCACATAAAAGATGAAATTAGAGGATAGATGCAGTTGTTCAGGGATTCCAATCTCATGAGAAAAAGTTTCACTTATAATGGAAGTGCAATGAGAAGTCATTGTAACATTTTAAATAGGAAAGTAAAGTCATTCAATTAATGTTTTAAAAATATGCTAGCTTTTGTCTGGAAAATAGATGGTAGAAGCACAGGGTTGGAAGGATGATCAGGAAGGAGAGTTTCACATCTGTTTAGGTGCAACATGATAGCAGTTTGGACTGGAGAGGAGGGAGTGGGCATTAAGAAACATGAATGTATTTGTGGGATAATTTTAAATGCCTGTGTGACATCTAAGCTGAGACGTGGAACTGGCAGTTAAATAGATACATAAGTCTGAAGCTCAGAGGAGCAGTCTGTGCTTTAAATATATATTTGGAAGTTGTGTCAGTGTATAGTATTTAAGCCATGGACCAGAGTAAAAGACCAAAGGCCTCTACTTAGTCTCACTGTGCCTTTTGAATTAAAGAGAAAAAAAAATCTTAGAGCAAGAAACAGGGAGCTAGAGTACCAATCGAACATGGTTATAAGGTGAACAGTTTACTAATCAATCCACAGCAATGTGAAATATATTTCAAGCTGATTCTCAGAAAAGGAGATGGGCTCCATCAAGCCATTTTTTCCCCTTTCAATTGCCATTGTAACTAAAAATGAAAAACTTTACAAAAGAAGAGTTGACCTTGAGGTTTAAACATTCATGCTGGTAGATTGCCTGGCTTTCCTTCCTCTACCCCAGGAACCTTAATATTTTAATCTCCAGATTACTTAAGTAATTCTGAGAGTTAAGTTTTTAAGACTAACTTTTGGACAAACCTATATGAACTAAGGATTGTTCTATGATAATCATTTTGGTTTATCTTTATATCTCAGCTTGTCAGTGACTGATTTTTTGAGTTTATTTTTATGTTTTTGAAGTCTTCATTGAAAGTACAAAAATCTACGTAGAAAAGTACACAAATCCCAAGTATACAGTTCAAGGAACTTTCCTCAAATGAACACACCCAAGTAACTAATATTGCAGACCACATGAATGAATTTTACATTGCAACCACCTTCTCTCAGTTCTATATCTTAGTCTCATGTTTTGTTTTTTCTTTCTCTTTCTTTCAACAGACATTTACTAGAGCTACTATTTGCCAGACCTTATTCTAAGCACTAGAATATATCAGTGTACAAGAATAAAAAAACTGCTACCCTTCTGGCACTCTCTATTAGTCATAATCAGATTCCTGAATTTTTATCCCTAGTTTTTCAGAGGCTAGATTGCTCAAGTGACCTCCTAGGTCCCCAGTAGCAGGATTTCCACCCTCCTAAAGTCTAGTCCTAAGTAAGTGTTTAAAATCTACTTTCAGACCTCCTAGACTTTATCTGCACAGGTCTTGGCATATATCAGGTCTTCTAGTGTTCGTAGAATGAATGAATATGGGGTTTCTCCATCCATTCCCTAGTAGTCTAATCACCTCCTGTCCTGCACTCATTGAAGAGACAGATTGAATCCTGGACTCCAGTTACCTTCTGGCAATGTGTTTGCGACCCCCCCTTTCTGTTCTTCTTGAACTGGTATGATTTTAGAATGCTAGACTCATTTCCATGCCTTTGTGCTTTTGTGCAGCGGCCTATGTCCTCCACCTGGCAACTAGTCCAGAACTTCTCCTGTCTGGTCCATCCTACCATCTGATTTTGATGCTTGTAGAACTTCCCTCTATGAGAAGGTGTCAGGCCCACTTCACTCAACTCAGTCTTTAGCCATCTCAATGTCCTGTATCTGCTGACCTCAGTAAGTCTGCTCAATATCCAATAACACTACTATCAAAAGCAATTTCTACTAATGTAGACATAAAGGCACCTTTAGAGTGATTGGATCACGTAATCTCATTTTTAACCTCCTCTCTGCTCTTTGCTCTAAGGGAAGCCATAATGAGAAGGGAAATGGGATTGGATACTGAAGGAAGGAGGTAGGAATCAGGAAGCCACTTGGTGGGAAGCCTGAGCTGAACTTTGCAGGACTTGGTCTATGCAGTGATTGAGTCAGCTCCACCTCCATGCCAGCCAAGAATGGTTCCTGAGTGAGACCTCTTCCTAGGTGATATTCTGCTTTAGTGCAAAGTCTTAGGTGTGTGGCTCCACCTAAGACTTTGCACTAAAGTCCAAGATGGTTGGACTTAGACTAGCCTGAGACTCACCCTAGGAAGTGCTCTGAGATAAAGACATCCAGTGGAAGGAGTACGTTTAGCTAAAATGTGAACCAAACCCTCTCCTTTTTTAGGCAATTAAAGAGCTTCATTGCACGCTTGGAGACAGTGTTCACACAGGCGATTCTTCTGCTATTAGAGAAGCAGATTGACTCCATTTTGATCATCCTGCCCTCGTCTGCTTGGCAAGTGCAGTGTGATGTCCATATGCTCTATTGTTCCCGTCAGCAGGGCGCTAACGTTTCTTTTGCTGCTGCTCTCACTTCTGTGGGGGATGTTTTTTTAGCCCCCTTTTCAATGTTGCCAACACATACATATATATTTTTAAAACATAGCACTTATTCTGGAGCTGCAGAAGGTGTGAGAGCTGTGTCCCCTAGCCATGGGACTGCATTTTCATTCAAACTCTGCTTCCTGCCTTTAAATGCAGCATAGATTAGTTTTCCAAAGAGGTACAGATCACCAGTAAGTGGCAGTAGCCTGGCTTAAAGACAGGCTGCACTTACACTTCAGAGGCGACTGCCTGGAACTGGGAAAGGGTTGCAGCCAAACGGAATTTATTAGCGGGATCTATAGAATGTGTTTGAAGAGCTACAGTGGTGTGAGCCGGCAGGCACACAGGTTGGCCCACCATCACACAAAGTCAAACAGGCCAACTGCTCAGGGGATTCAGCCTGGCACGCCTTGTCAGCATTTCTTTATTTCTTCCTGCAGAGAAACGCAAATGGAACAAATTTTCAGTCCCAGGGACTTAGGCTTCTTGTGCATTTTTCCCTTTTCCTTTAGAGCTTCCTTCCATGTTCTCAGCCTCCATTCTCTAGTTTTTCTTCCCCAGATGGTGTTAAGGAAGCAATTGCTTCTTTAGTGGTTCCAGCTGATTCCCTCCCTGCCAGTACCTGGATTTCCTGTGGTGCTGGACTTTTAGCTGGGGAAAATTTTCTCAGTTCTTCAAGTAGGGATTTTAAACTCCATATTCAATGAGAGGTCTGTGGAATTTGGCTTCTTTACAAGAACTAATCAATGTAAAGTGTGGGCTATGCTGCACCTGATCCTGAGAAACCCCCGCAGGAGGGGGAAAGATCATTTATTCTTCTTGGGGGTAGGGAACATTCAAAACCCATTTCAGAATGTTGATTTAGTTCTTCCAGATGATCTTTGTGGAATGCTTGGCCTAGTAGGGATCCCCTAAACACCCTTGAAGACAGCACAATACAGTGGGAAGGGGATGGCCTTTGCAGCCAGACACATGTGGACTTAAATGCCAGCCCCATCTTTGCTGGCTGTGTGAAGTTGGGAGAGCCTGCCTCAGTTTCTCTCCCAGTAGATGGGGATACAGGCCCCAGATGGGTGGAAAAGGGGTGAGAGAACAATTGGCCATTGTTGTGATGGGTCTTCCTATGAGATGACATTTGTAGTTTTTCATACTTCTTAGTTTCTGTCATGAAGTCTCGCGATTTTGACAGCAGCAGAACAGACTTATAATTTGTTTTCACACAACTAATTTCATGCTAACTCAGTTCATGATCTATTTCATTTTTGACAGGAGTCCGAATTCTCTATCCTAGGACCTTGGACTGAGCTGCTGGGTGGGGCATGTTTTAAACTGTGTATATAGTGGAGATCAGAGAATTTCTCCTTCAATTCTCACCTCCCCCCTCTCTAACCTCTCAGTCCTCAGCGTTAGGATTAAATGAGGTAATGTTTGTAACACACCTGGGAATTAACTGGAACTATTTGATGCTCAGGTGACAGAACTGACTTATTATCTCAATTTCCATCCACAGCCTTATTTTTGAATACCAGACTCTCAAAAGCAGCCTAAACCTTCTCATTTCTGCAACAGGGAGATTGTAATTATCTGTAGTTACTCTGAAACTGCTTCTGTTAGTGCTGTTGACAGAACATCCACTTAATTGTAATGGGATTTTTTTTCTTCTTCTCTTTCATAATTTGGGTGAATTTTATCTGAGTGTGAAGAAGCTCACAACAGTAGTTTAAAAGACAAACACAATGATGTCTAGTCCATTCCTACCAGACTGATCTCTGCCACATGAATATTCAGGGGAGCCCTGAAGAGTCCATTAAAAACAAAGTTGAACTCTACCTGTTTATAGATTACTTCTCTTCGTAATTACACTATGTTTCAGCAACTAATGGGAATGAAACTTCTTAACAAAAACAACTGCCTTTCCATAACATGAATTAAAGGAGAAATTAAGATCAATTCTGTTTCAAATAACTGTCTCAAAAGGAAAAAAATCTCTTCATTTATCAAAAGCATCCAGATCTACTTCCCCCTATTAATCCAGGTATATAGAAGCTCCTAACACTTGTAACCAATCTCTGTCTGCTCTAATGGATATTTGGAACCTTTATTGATTTGGGTAAATTTGCTTCTTCTAAGGTCAATAATGATAAATGAGTCATGTTCTGCATGAAGTGACTTGGTACTTTGAATTAAATGATTGTAATTATCTGTAGTTATTCTGTAACTGCTACTGTTACTGCTGTTGACAGAACATCCATGTAATAGTGATGAGAATTTTTTTTCTTTGCTTTAATAGTTTGGGTGAATTTTATCTGCATGTGAAAAGGCTAATGTTAGTGGCTTAAAAGGCAGACAGGGCAGTGTCAGGCACCTTCCCTTATGCTTCTGTCGTCATGGGCTGCATTCCCACTGAGCTTGCTCTGGGTTGGCGTTGATCACACCTGATGGGCATTAGGAGGAAGGGGAAGCCTCGTGCTGCCACTCAATGCCGTTTTAGTGGAAGTAAGTCAGGCTCAGAACCCAGAGATGAAACGTTAATCACCCACTGTGTTTCCTAGACCACCCTAATAGGGTATCTGTTTGGAAGTCATCCTCAACCCTGTGGTGTTCTCATTGTCTCACTGGTGATGAGAAAATCCTGGCTGCCCACAAGCCCTTGCTGTGCTTCCATCTGCAGCTGCATTTTGAAGTCAGCCCTCTATGTACAAAGCCCTGTGTTCTGTCTCCATGATGCAGGGCTCCCAAAATCATGGCAGGTGCAAATGAGATTGTATTTTCAACTAGCCTCTGGCACAGATGGATGGAGTTGCCCATCAGAGCTTCAGCCTCCAGGTGAGGACAGTCTCAAGGCAATTTAGCACGAACTTAAAAGGTGGGGGGAAGAGCTACTTCGTTTTCTCCAGCTACATGCTTTTTCTCAGAAACCTAGAGCTGAGAGATTTTCATTTTAAGGCAGATCTTTTAAAAATGTTTTAAGAGAAAGGCAGGAAGTTGGACATAATATATCTTTCTGAATCTCAGATTTCATTCCAGAAAAATGAAGCTGAAAGAAATTCCTTTTTAAGATCTCTGGTTGCTCTAAGTGGGACGATAGGACTTTTATAGAGAGGACAAAGAAATTACCTTTGAATGCATATGTGTATTAGGAATAGTTTTTATTACAGACCCTCCCCACCGGCATCCAGTAATTTATTGAGAATTAGTTGTTTTTGTGCTGCAAAACTAGACAGAAAGAGATGGAGTCAAACCTTGCTGGGATGAGAAAGCAATTTTCTAGATGTGAAAAAGGAGAGAGGAAAAACGAACTCACTAGGTCAGGTCCCTCCCATACCACTAGACGTGGCTCAAGAAATGAGTTATAAATAGCAACTTAGGGCAGACTACTAAGTAGCAGAGTAGGACAAGACCTATGCTTCCAGAAAACAGAAGGGCCAAAGGATAGCAGTTTTCTAAATGGTGGAGTGGAAGAGGAAGAGTTGGCAAGTAGGAGGAAGGGAAAGAGATGAAAGGAGAAGCAGCTTAGAACACATAGAAGAAACCATTTAATGTTGAGAGTTTTTGCAAAAGTAGAGCTTCGTAACCTGATTCCAGCTGTACCACTAGATGTGAGTAGAGCAGGAACTGGATGCCACCTTCCAACGACGATACTCTCATACTGCTGTGCTGACTGTGGAGCTTGCCCCTGTTCAGGAGGAGCAGCTGTAGGGGGACAGTAGAACATTTTGGGCTGGGTACCTCACTTCCTCAATGGCATTTCAAAATGAAAAAGCAAACTATGAGGTAACATCAATAGGTTTGAGCTCAGAACCTCTCATTCTTGCCAATTTTCTCTCTTCTCCCACCTCTCCTAACCTCTTAAGCATAGGGATTCCCAGCTGAGATCCATTCCCTTGCTTTTCTCTCTGTTTGGGGAGTGATTCTTAAGCCACTTCTTACGTTTCTCATTTTCTGCATCAGCCTAAAACCTCAAATTGGGGATTTTTATCTCCCTGAGACTAGGATAGTAGGCCTTCTCCCTCACCACCCCCCAGCTAATGAAAAAGAAAACTCTCTGAAGTCACCTGCAAGTGCCTCTGGCTCCCTCAGATGAGTAAGGCATTTGTGGCCACCTCCCTTGGTCTCACTCCTGCAGGTCATAAGGCAGAAGCCAGAGAGCAGCTGCTCTGGGTCACAGTAGAGAAGCAGCAGGCTCGTAAGGCAGCAAAATGAGAAAAGCCACTGAGAAAAAGGATAGCACACCACGACAGGGCCATGGCGCCCTTCTCCATCTTTCACTGAGTAAACTGCTGAAATGCCAACACAGCTGTAAAGCCAGCAAAAATACATGAACTTTTGTAGCAGGTGTTAGCACTTGTAGCTATCTAATTTCAGCTTTAACTTCCCAGTCCCCAGAGAATGTAGTTTCGGAGACTGGGGAAAGTGAGAGCATTCGTGTTTGAAGTCTGGAATCGGAGGTGTCAGCTAAAGGCCAAAACCTTTGGCTCTATTAACTCCTTTCTGAATCAAGAGAACATCAAGAAGAGACTGTATCTAGCATATTTTACAGATAAACCAAGTGGAGGGTCTGGGTCAAATAGTGAACCTGTTTAAGAAAGAAGAGAATTAGCACCAATAGACTGTTCTTTTTCTTTCTGCACATGAACTGTATCAACTATAGTCTCGTTCCAAAATCTGTGTAACAATGTGCACAGCTGTGTATAGGGCATTATTTGTCTGTGAACAGAATATCGCTAGATGCAGCGTCCTTCGGATGAATTGAAATCTGTTAGGGAAAGCAGCAAACATACACTTGTGTTCCAGCTCAGCCCTTATTATAATTTATCTATGAGTGCTGTGCCTCACTGAAGAGTATAAAATTTCCTGTAGAGAAACAGAATAGTGGATTGGGTTTGAGGGAAGCCAGTTCACTCGCTTATCAGGGAGATTGCTCTTCATTAGCTTTCGTTGGAACAAAGTACTACTGCTGAGGCATCATCTGTGTGCTGGATGTCCTGCAAAGATTCCAGCTTGAGGAGTGCAGGAGGAACCAGTCTGCTGTGGCCTTGGTAGACATCAAGCTTAATGTCAAACAAGGAGGTGATGCTGAACAGAAAACAGCAACTGCTCAATGTTATTATCTCCCTGCCTTATTATTTAGAGACACTTAGTAGACAATTGGGACTTGCTGGCTTCTTGGTTTTAACTTTTCTTCCCAATAACTCATGGGGGTCTCTTCTGCCCCTTCCTTTTCCTTTACCTCCCTCCCCGACCCAGTTCTTTAATCCTAACATAGGAAAAAAAAAATAGTAATTTTTACAGTTCTCCTAAAGAGAAGGAACAGAAAATGAGATCGGATATTTGCAAATGGTAACTGGGAAAAGTACATGTTGCTGAGTAGACCCACAGAAAAATAAAGCATGTTTTCTGCTATCAACCCACAGTAGACAGCCACACATACTCCCAAGAAATGCTTAATTGAGCCTAGTTGGTCCTCTCCACCCAACAGTAGTTCTGTAGTAAAATAATGTGTAATAACGAGACTTCCTTCTTGAAAAGGACGTATCTTCAGGTTAGGGACAGGGGTGTAAGGAGGGCAGAGCTCGGGACTCCTGTTGCAAATGTATATCCTAACTGAGCCAAGCTGAGAAGAGCCTGGGAGACGGGGGAAGGACATTTCACAGCCAGTGTGGTAGTCAAACTATAAGAAGCCAGCTGCCCTTTATTACTGTCAGTAAACAACAAAGGAGAGAATAAAAAGCTAGGCAAAGTGGAGAAGCAACAACTGTATAAACAGTGGGGGCCCTGAAACATCTCATGGAAATACTTAAAATGTCTTTTGTATTTCTGTGTGGTGGTTTGTAACTTTTCATTAAAAAATTCCATGAGAACAGTGCACAGGTATCTTATGAGCTGTGAAGCAGCCTTTCCTATCACCCAAAGACAGAGGCTACTCTGGAACAGCTTTCTTTTTGATGAAGTCGTTAGAAAGCTCTAGTTATACCAATCAAGCCAAAGAAAATGGATCCATCTCTACAGCAAATACTAAAGAGAACTAAATTTGGAAAACATGGGATCCTACATTTCTTATCTGCCACAAACTGCAGTTTCCCTTTAAGGAACTGGGGCATGAGCCACAATTTATCATTGGTACAATTATCATTCATATTCCTCAGAAATCATACATGCCTGGTTGGCTTAGAAAGAAGTACTAGGATCTACAGTGTCCTTCTCTCCTTTCCTGAGCACTGATAAGGAAGAAGACTGTTAAGAAAAGTTATCCTCAGCAAATTATCAATTGCTGAATCATAAAATTAGAGAAATTGGATGCAGCTTTGGCTCTAGGTCTGTTTCTTCTTTCCCACACCAAAATGGAATCTTGAGTGAAAAATTGCAGCATCTCTACTTTGTAATGAAATGTGCAGAAGAAATGAAAAAATGCATTACTTTACCCCATGTGTAGGTACTACATCATTACACCACTGAGAATGTTTCACTAATGATACAGAACATATGGGGGCTGTTACATAATGAACTACAATGAGGTACATTAAAAATATAGATGAGTTTAATTTTATATATTTAATAAAAAAACTTTTATAAGGCAGTTTCATAATACTTCTACAGATGGTAATTATTCCCATTGGTGGAGTCCAGGCTGTGTGTTATTACGAAGTTTGCCCCATCATAACTAGGAAGGGATCTGATTAGCCAAAATGAAGGATATCCTAAGTTCCAAACTCGTTGTGATAATTTGGGCTGTGGACTTATTTTCTTCATGTCTTCTGTGTGTTTGCTGCAAAGCTGTGAAAGAAGATTCTTTCATTCAATGTAATATGTTTGCATTAGTGATAACCACTTCCATTTCTTCCAGAGGTTGTTGCTCTCTCCTTTCCTTCCCTCCTACAAAAAAGAAACATGGGACATTTTTTAAAAAGTTACCATCCTAGTGCCACAGAGATATGAAAATACAATTTGACAGAGAATCTGAATACTTTCTAATACAGCACATAATTGGATTTTACAGTCTTCAAGAAGAGCTAATTTGGCTTATAGTTAGTATTTTATGATCAATGTATTGAATTTAGATGAGTTTTCCACTGGATCTATATCAAAATTGTTTGTTCAGTATAACCTCAGTTTTTAGTATTTTCAGAGAGTAAAACTTTAAGATTTCAAAGAGGAAGAAAAAGCTTATTTTGCCCAATTCTGATTTTTGTAGACTGGTGTCCACATCCAGCAACAGGCTGCAACAATTTAGAAACTCCCATTGTAGCTTAAAACTCAGAGTAAAATCCGATCTTCTGTTAGCATAATTTTATATAACCCTTGTTACATCTCAATTTAAGGAAATAATTAGAGCAAATTGATCACAGGAAAGTTTAACTAGCCAGTGGTAGTTTTGAATTAAAGTTCATTTTCTGTGAAAATTAGAAAAGGCTGAGAATTTGGTTCTTCATTACGTGATAATTTAGCGTCATATGTCAATAGCATCCTGGGAAAGTGACGGTATGGCAGTGGTCTAGAGGGTGGTGTGCTCAGTGACCTGGAACCAGAGATGGTGCCATGAAAGCTTAATACTCAGGGGCAGATGATAGCACATGGAGACCCAACTATTTCCAGTGCGTTAAATTCCAGGTTATAACTTCCTAATCTTGATTTTGCACTTGTGATTTTCACTTGAGGAGTTCATTAAACAGCTATTGTTTAAAAAAAAAATATTACATACTGTATTTGCTGGAAGCCTTAAGATATTGTAACTTGAAGATTCTATCTTATACATACGTGAGGCAGTGACTTTTCTGGTTTTAAATATTTTCACTGTTGTGCTATAATTTATAATTTTTGTCACAATCATATTAAAGAGCGTTCCACAAATACAATGTGCACAGCATGTGGCTTAATATTTACTTTGTATACATATAGAGGATTTGGCAAATCTTTTACTGATAATTAATGCCTTTAATTAAAATTTATTTAGTCATGGTGACTTAATTCGGATTAAAGTCAGTAATTAAGCTCTACCTTTAAAGCCTGGCTCAAATCTCCACTCTTTCAAAAAGTCTCCATGAACCCTCATCCAGTTAGTTTCCCCCATTCTCTTGCAATGCCCTTTCTAGTCAGCCTTCAATGAAGGTTATTTATGCATACTTCTCACCCTACTATAAGTCAAAGATTCCTGTCATACATCTTTGCACTTGCCACAGCACTTGGCACAGGGTTTTGCCTATAATAGGTGTTCAATAAGTATTTATTTTACTGATCATTAATGTGAGGAGGTATGTACTATTCAGAACATGTGGGTTTGAAACACATCTATGTGCAGTGAAAACGTGAATTTCTTCTTTCAGTGAGCAGCTCAGCGTCCACATGATCACCGCCACCCATCTCCTCTGACATATCTATCCATCTCAATTCAGACCAATGAATCCAGTGTGGAAAGCAGGAATCACACCAGCCAAAATCATGTTACGTCAGTATTTTGTATCATAAGTAGAAAGCCTTCAAACACTGAATTTAGCAGATTATACAGATCAACCATGAAATTGAATTTGACTTCTGCTGAATACAATGAGTCATATCAGAACCTTCTGCACAGGGGAGTTCAAATAAACCCAGTAAAAAATTTCCACAGAAGTAATTGGAAGCATTTGTACATGTATTACTCTCAAATTAATAATATGAATCTTTTGATTGCAATTTTACCAGGTAGATATTTTTCTATATGTCTCTCCATTGGTTCCCATCAAAACACATACATTTTGTGTTATCTAAGGACCAATATCTAATTTTGGAGAACAGTTAATATAAATTTCATATTGATATGTAACTAATAAAAATGTCTATAATATTTACAATAATAAAGGCTGTGTTATAACTGATCACGCTTTTATCCAACATGAGACAATGAAGGTAGAGAGAACTGGCCAAGGCTCACATAGCAGAGCAGAGGGCATATAGGGTTAGATACCTGTCCTTTTCTTCTCTTGTTAGCATGTTGAGCTATACCATCTGTATTGTGAGTCTACTACCTAAAACTGGTTTACCTATTCTAATGTCTGAAGCAGGACCCTGAATATCCCTCACATAAATTTTGCTTCTGAAATCTTTTTAGACTTATATTTAAGCATGGTGTCTGATATCATGGGAATTTGAAGTATTCCAAATAAAACAACACACATTGAGAAAATATGACTTAAGTGGCCTTATCAATTTTTTTACCATTTAGTAAGGAGAATTTATGGTCTAAATAACCCTTTCAACTTACCTAAATTGAGAATTTTGACTAAAATATCATTGAATTGTACTCTAAATGGATGAATTTTATGGTATTTAAATTACATCTCAATAAGTGGTTTTTTAAAAAAGTACATTTCCTGAATAACGGCCGGCTACCTAAGTAACTATGAATGGTTTGGAAATTCACCCAGATTTAACTATTCAGAGTAAGTGTCATTTTAGACCAAAGATTGAGAGCTAGAATCTATAACTTTTCTAATCACAAAAACTAGAGTCCCAGATAGGCTGAATGATTTGGCCATTATTTCATAGTAAGTTAAAGGCAAAGACAGGTTTTGAAGTCCATTCTCCTAAGTACCTGAAAGCAAAACTGGCTACTTGAAGTTCTCTTGAGTTAATTGCATTGCACCCTGTCTCTTAGGGTCTATACTTTTTCTAAGATTTGCGATATCTCAGGTAATACGTAGTGTTATGCTTAAAAGAGTCAGATCACTTGGTACTAGCCCCAGAACTTAAAAGTATCTAAATGAAAGAAAGTTGGATTTAAATAAACGTATTTGGGGAAAGGAAAAATGCTTCTTTCTCATTTTCTTGGTTCTTAATTAACCTTATCATACATATCTTTCATTTTAAGGTATTTAAAATTATTTCTGGAAAGGAGTATGAGCAAATGTGAAATTTCAAACATAAAAAATAGGAGTCATAACTTTGTTACATTGTCTACCCTGTTGATTGTCTCTGAAAACAAAAGCTCTGTATCTTTAATACTATTAAGTCTGCCTGTGAGCTATAAGCAAGCCATTTCTTAATTAAAACTTTTTGAATTTTTATCTATAAACCAAAACAGACCACTATACTTGCAGCAAATATCCATTTCATTGTACCACATTGTGGTTGAATTCACCATGGGGGAAAAAAAAAAACCTTTATTTTTAGCTTTTGTTCTAATTTCACTTTAAGAAATATGTGCTTCATATTTGCAGCCAAATGAATTTCATATTTGTAACAATAAGAAAGATGTGTTTTATTATTTGAAACAATAACCCCTGTTTTTCTGAGATGTATAAAAGAAAACTGATATTAATGGGGAGATATCATGTTCCAATATGGAGAAAAAATTTTTCAAAAACTAGCTTCTTCCTAATTTCTAGGTTTAATTTAGTTTTATTCCAAATTAACAGACTTTTTTTCTTAAATTTTACAACTGTTTTAAAATTGATCTTAAAAAAAGGATAAGACCAGATAAGAAAATAAAAGGGAGGGGAGCAGAAACTGAAGACAAATTGATGTAGAATTTTAAACATAGTAAAAGCTATAATAATAAAATCTATGGTACTGACATATGGATCAATGAAAATAAAAATGGAAGCTAGGGGAAAAAAGACTCTAACATATATGTACTAGAATTTAAATGAAATGGAAAGATTTTTAAAAGCTACATCCTCTGGAGTTTGCTATGGGTAGCGAAGATATATTATTATATCTCTTTCAGACCTTGCCAAACATCTAATCCCTTCCTGCTTATAGAGGCTGTTTTGATGGGGGAGAGGGCTGAATTAATTCAACCAAGGGACTTAATCCACCAAATTTGAAACATTATACAGGAAAAAATGTGATGCCAAAGTTGTCTGTTCTTTGTAAAGTTAGACTTAGAGGGCTAGACTGCCCTTTTAGCCATGAATGCTATCTTAGAAAGCAGGCCCTGAGATAAATATTTTTCCACAAGCAGTTGATTGGTGATCCCGGGAAATATTGGCAGGGGAGCAGAGAAGTAAGACAGGGAGGGAAGGCGGCCCAGATAGTTTTTAGCAAGCACCTTACCACTGTAGGCAAGTGGAGCCTGATCTTGCTGGGGAAATGTGAGCACTGGTGTAAAACACACACTTAGACTCATCCACTCTAACCGAAGATGAGACCACTCGCGTATTTACACAGCACATTCTCTCAGTTACTGGTCTAGGGGTGCTGGATTGCGGAGAAGGATAGGTGTTACTCTCTAAGCACTTCAAACCTGCTGCTCCTGTAGATAAAACAAAATTTGGTGGCCAGATAAAGCCTCAGGTAAGTAAATGGAGGTGCTGTTAGTTGGAAGTCAGACCGGCAAGCTCTGAAGTGCTAAGGGCCAGGGGAAAGAGATGAAGAAAAAACTAGCGCTATCTGACACAAAGGCCAATACTCTAGGAGCTTACTTTACACAGTAAAGAAATAAGGATTTTTGGTGTTTCTGTGATAACCTGAACTGAAAAAAGAAAGGACGGGGAAGGAAGGCTGACAATTGTTGAGCTCAGGAAAGACGTGATGGGGAAGACAAATCAGTATGAAGAAATCAGCCTAGCATCTGGCCAATCTAAGGAGGAATCACTGTGACCATGATCTGGGGGTTGACCAGTGAAGAATCTTAGATGCAGTGATGTTTCACAATGAATCTTGGGGTGTTTCCCTGTCTGTGTTGTACTCTCCCTCAATTACCTCCAAACTTTCAGTAAAAATTTAAGTGTTAACAGCCTTGCGTTAGCAGTGCCTTGGGAAATAAAGACAAAGGGACTGTGTCCCTGCTAAGAATGAAGCTGTTCAGAGTGGTGATGTGATGGTCACAAGTGTTTGACAGTTGAGCAAGGGTTTGGCATGAGATGTAAGTACTCTGAGGAACGTAAGTCCTACAGGTATCCCTGGAAATATTAGGGAGACTGCTAGCACTCATGTTACTTTGTACAGATTTGATTTTAAAGAATGACACCAGAAGGCTACAGGACTTGATTCTGAATTTTCTTAAAATTTTAATGTATTGCTTATCTGAAATTTTTGCATTAGTTTTGATTTTTCAAATATTGTATTGTAATATTATTTATGTTGATTACTGAAGGTTTTTTTTGTGCCCCCTTTAAATTTTTCCCAGAGGGAAGTTCCTTACTCATTTGACCCAAATGCTCATCTTCACATAGGGATATTTGGGCTCCACCATATAAAAAAGTATACGTTACTGGGCAAAGGAAATGGTGATGGGAATTGATTAACTATTTGGGGTGGTGGGGGGGGAAAGAGGTTCTAAGCTCATTCTTTGTAGCAAATGCATTTTTGTTTGATTAATGTGTTAAAAAATTAAAATAATATTAGATTTCCAGATACAGAAGGGACTTCTAACCATAAAACAGAGGAAAAAAACTACAAAGAAAAATATGCATAAATTTGACTGCATAAAAATTAAAGCTATTCATTTCAATAAACATGAAACAGACAAGAAAATCTGCAACAAATATTTGTAAAAACTAAGTTATTAATACATTAACATTTTTGAAAAGTAATTTTTAAGTTAGAATAAAGATCCTTAAAGCTATCTGTACTTAATACAGGAATCTCATTGCTAAAAACTTATCCTTATAAAATAGAGATGTGGCCAAAGATTTGTGTGTATCTGTAGTGTTTTATAGCTTACAAGTAATAACAAAAATTCTTGAAAGAATCTAAATGTCAAATTAGAGGAATAAAGAAATTATGACATAACCATTGGATGGAACATTATACACATATAAAAAGTATGCTTTCAAAGATGATTTAAACTGGCCTTGAGCAACAGCAATGGGTCTACATGACTGAAGGGACAACAGGAACATGCGTTTGAGTTGACCATGATCATTGTAATGGAGACTACACTTGACTGAAGGACAATTTGGAAGATCCTTCTTCCAAAGTTTTTTGGATTGTGTAAGTTCTATGGTTCTTAAAGGAACCATAGAACTTAAGATCATAAAGGAGAGGAAATAAAAAAATGACTTAAGTTGGATTTCCTAGGGGGTTGGGTCCTATGCCAAATGTGGTTTGATTTAGAAAAATAAATATATATCATGCAGGAAATACAGTTTCACAGTGATGGGATTATGGGTGATTTTCATTTTCCTGTTTGTATTATGTTCTTCAGCATTATATTTAAGAATGTATTCCTGGAGCAAAGGATTTCTTCTCTCCAGCTTATCACTTTGGTGTATCTTCCAGATGTTTTAAAGAAACGTCTTTCAAATAAATGTGATAATTTTGAGCTGTAGGAAAAGGCCTACAGCTTGAAAGTGGAATTATTTTTCCCAGTAACTTTCATATTTTAATATAAAGCCAGGCTTAGGAAGCATATGTGGAAAAGGAATGAGATAGCAGAAGTGTAATGTATGTTTCAGCAAACAAATGTCAGAAGATGCTCTTTAAGATGAAGTTATAAGACAATTCTTTTAAAAGGTCCTGGCTGGTGAAGGATCATTTTATCAATTGCTGAGATGTTCATTGTTCACTCATTCTGTGTGAAGTCACAGGTTGTAACAATAGGAACACTAAACTGAGCATCTTGGGACTGAGTTTCCAGTGTCTCTTCTAACACTCTCCATCCAGGAGAGCTTAGCTTCCATTCATCTGCCAGAACTTCCTTGTTGTCTGCAAAAGAAAGAACTTTCTGTAAATCTTTATTGAATTTTCAGTTGCATCTCTTTGAAGTATTTGCAAATATGAATACATATTGATTTAATAAAATCTTAAGTGGAATCCATCATTAGAATTGCCTACTTGGAGCTTACAAAATACATGCCAACCAGTGATTGCATTTTATGCAATTCCTTATATCTTTAAAGCTAGGCATAAAAGTTCATAAGAGACTCAAACCCAGAATCTGAGAAAGCAATCCTTTTAATCTGGTCAAATAACAAGGAATCTCCCATTAGAAGATACATAGAGAGATAAAAAGAAAGATATATATGATATACAAATATTATATATGATACATATTTAAAATTATGATATCTATGACATATACAATGCACCTTAGAACAAACTTGTCATGTAAATTTGGCAATTTTTGATTGATGGCATTTTAAGGTACATCTTTATTTTAGGGATCCTGATGCCTCAAAAATGGACAGTGAATGTACTTTAATAATAACAATCTAAAGTACAGTACCATCATGTTTGCTCAATGGAAATATCCAATGCTGTACCACAAATGTTAAATTGTTCTTCCTTAAAGAGAGTGACATCATGCAGGAAATTCAAATCAAGTATCAAATAATTCTTTTTTAATTACAAAGGAAGCATCCCCTCTCTGCTTTCTCCTCTGTGGTCTGCTTTTTATTTTGTCTCTCTGACTCAATGACCTCAGTGAATCACTGGGTACAGTTTGCTATCCAACTTGAAAGATATATTGACTGGCAGGCTCATTTATTTACCCCCCCCCCAAAAAAAAGGAAGAAAGAAATCTTTTAAAAACTCATTGAGACTCCCCATTTTGTTTGAGCGCAAAGAGGAACATCTTAGATGAAGTGTGAGCTAAGGAGAAGGGGAGTAGCCAGGATGGCATATTTTGAATATGATGCCACCTCTCAGATGGCTTTCATTTTCATGCCCGGGAGCATCTTTAAAAAAAAAAAGCTGGATATTGCATATAAAGTTTAGAGAATTGAGTATTGTCTACTAAAGCAACAAGATTTACGAGAAACGTCTGGCTCAATTGCATTAAGAAAAAAAATGATTTCAAAAAAATCACTTCCCCGCCTTTTAAAATGAAAACCATCTGCAATGAAAAATTTAAAATGATAAATCTTCTCCTTTCACACTGCTACTGATAAATGGATAGTTTTCCTCCTCTTTTTGGAGGGAGCGGAAAAGGGATTTAGAAATATGTGATATTCATGCATGCAGACTTTTGGTTAAATATCTATATACTCTTCCTGGAATTTTGAATAAGATTCTAAGTTTGTATTATTATAATCATCATATGATATTACGAGAGCTATTACATGGAAACTCCAGGCTGTAACTTTTTGGAGTTGAGGTTCAATAACATTTCACCTTTCTTAGCTATGAAAAAAACTTGTGTTTCAATAAATATAGTGATTTCAAATTCATGGAATATATTTAGGTCAAGATCTACTCAATGTAAAACATTTTAAATTAGCCAGTTTATACAAGCTTATGTTTATATTTGATGTTAAATATTTAATAATGTTTTTTATAGTGCAACCTCTTAATTTTGATTAAATAATCTATGGATTCTAATATTTATTCAGAACATAAAAGAAGAGGAATAAATCCATAATCATTGTTTTTTTTTTCTTCTCCAATTCATGTGCTCACAGACACACAAAGAAAGCGGGTAGTGATTAAAGTAATAATGCTACATGCTAGTGTCTTTTGTTTCTTCTATACTATAAAAGCCTTTAGGCAAGTGTCTAGTGTTTCATTTTACCCAGATCTTAACAAATAGTGAGATCCTAAATGGCAATGACTGAAGAATTCACATAATCATTCTCCATATTCTGTCGCCCCCAGTTTATGAATCTAGAGGGTACTAATTTACACGTGGCTTACTCTGAAGCAGGAGTGAGTAGAACTGTTCCTAATGGGGGCATCTGTTCCTTTCCTGAAAAACAGGGTCACCCAGGCTCCTTTGGAAACATGCGAGTTTAATTGGAAATTCTGGTGCCTACTTTACTAGTCATAAACTAAGTAATTGTTTCCTAATGCAAGCTGGCAGTGCCATTGAGGGCAGATTATACAGACCTGCCATCCTGAGGTGTTCTAAACAAGTGACAAATCATTAACAGCAAGTCTCTGGATCTCTGTGAGTGAGCTCTGTGGCTGCTACTGGAGGGAAACAAGACCAGAGAGGAGCGAGGGAGATCTGAGCAGGCAGAAGCTGCTGCATTAATGACTGGCATTGTCAGCACTGTGCGCTGGGGATGACTGCAGCATCTTCACTTTCACCTTCTTCTCAGGGGTGTTGCTATGGGTACCATCTCAGAGGTGTCATAGAAAAAAAAAGAGAGCAGGAGGTAGACTGATGAACAACGTAAGGAAGTAAAGGATATGCAATGGCATAACAATATGAAGACATTCTTCCCATACGAACGAGTGTGTTGCATACTTCGATAGGGACCTATTAAATATGGAGGATGGCAGACAGGAGAATTGGTTGAATTGTCAACAAATGACAAATAAAAGGTGCTTTGGAACTATTTTATGGCCCCAATTATCCATAAAGATAATCGTAGTACTGGACCTTTATCACTTGGGTACAATCTTTTGTCACTAAATTAATTTATGAGCCCCTGGGAATTGTATGCATGCGTGGTGTATGGGTGTTTTTGCAGTATGGCAAGACTTGGGAAAGCTGTTCATTATTTTAAAGGCTGTGGTTTTTTTTTGCACTCTTTTCAAACTCCTGCTCTCTCCCCTGATCAGAGATTCTGTGAAGGTGCCAACTCCCTAGCACTTTGACTTTGAAATTAATCATGGTAGCCTTCCTTCTCTGTAATATGTTAATCATCATTAGCCCGATTCTCTTGCTCTCTCTCTGTCGTACTTTAGCCTTTGGATAAAAGTCAGAAAAAATTATTAGGAGCATTTTAACAAATTGCAGCATTTCAGTGATTATGTAGCAGTTGTCAGATTCCTTCCTGGCAGAGTTGGAAAAGTGACATTTTCTTAGTTTCCCAAGTTTATTCAACTTATTAAAATAGCATAAACAATGTTGAGGTAGAAAACAGGTTTTGCTACCCACCTTTATTATATATAGTGTTATAGAGTCCAATCATATATATATTTATAGAGGAGATTATTTAAAACACTCTGGTGAGAACACAGAGCCACTTCCCCTCCTCATTTGATTGAAAACTGAAAGTTCATATTTTATGGGTCATGTGGCATTCAGCCTTTCCAAACTGGCTTGAGTAGTTTCTATAAAATATGTAGCTGGAAGTTTTGGTTCTTTTGTTTTAGTTTTCTTCTTCTTTCTCTTATTTACTTATTTTTTTTTTACTTTTGTTTTTCTGTTTTTAAAATCATGGTAGTTGCTGGGAATGTCAACCAAAATAACATTCATAACCTGAAACCCCTACCCATTATTTTCACACATATATCATATAACTGTCACTGGAAACCAAATTGTGGGGTGAGTTGACCAAACTCTTGGGAGGCTATTGCAGATACTTTTCTATAAAAAATGTTTTTACTAAAATCACACCAAAGGACCCTCGGTCCTGACCCTACTGCATATTTATTTTTTGTAGGCATCAGTTTACTCAGGAAAAGAAACAGGAGAAGTTCTTAGAAAGGGATGAGGTCCTGACTTGCAGACACTTTTCTTTTTCTGGCTATAACTTAAGGTGTAGATCATTGTTAGAACTAGAAGTAGATATTTATGGGAAAATGAAATTGGATTTGACTAAGCAGTGAGAGCTAAGACAGATTTGAAAATATAGAGAGGACCTGATCTTTATTCATTAATTTGTTCATCAATTCAACATTTATGGAACAGCTGCCATGCATCAGGTACTGTACTTGATATTAGGGAAACAAAGATAAATAAGATACAGGCCTCTCCCAAGGAGCTTGCAGTCTAGAAGACATGGTCTTTGCTTTATTTTTATTAAAAAAGATGAGGTCTCACTCTTGCCCAGGCTGGAGAGCAGTGGTGCCATCATGGCTCACTGCATCCTCAAACTCCTGGGCTCTAGGGCTCCTCCTGCCTCAGCATCCTGAGTACCTGGGACTACGGGAACACCCCACCATGCCTAGCTAATTAAAAAAAAAAATTCTTTTTTTGTAGAGATGATGTTTCCCTATGTTGCCTAAGCTGGTTTCGAACTCCTGGGCTCAGGTAATTCTCCCACCTTGGCCTCCCAAATTGCTGGGATTATAGGCATGAGTCTTCGTGCCTGGCTGAAGACATAGTCTTTTAAATAGCTTATTATATAATGCTATGAGTAGCATGCATGCATAATAGTGTGATCTGAGACATCTAAAAATGAGGGCAGTAGTGAGGTTATAATTCACTAAGTGGTTTCCAGAGTATAAAATAAAATGAATGCTTTAATTTCCAAAGGCTCTTTAGGTAGGAAAAACAACTTGAATTATTAAAAACAAGAGAAGTACATTGAAGATGGTATTACAAACTCCTTGCTAGACAAGGGTAAGATGAGAGCCAACTCAAGAGATATAGTTGGGAGAACCATAGAATAGACCTCAAAATTTGGGACTTAATTACCTATATGTTACTGTATCTACCTTGAAAAGAAAATGCTGTTTGCTGAATTAAAAGTCATTAATTATTTCTGTAAAGTGTGCCCTAATGGCAAGTAAGAATTAAAAGTTTCTTATAGTCATTCTTGGGTTTGAGCTATATATAACCAGGGCATTTTTTTTTTTTGTAATGGAGTTTCTTAAAATAGATTATTATCTTTTATTACAGGCTTCAAAATAATTGCTCTTCTATGTCAAGTTATATCTAGTCCAGCAAGAGTAGTATTGTGAAGAAATAATTTCCATCGCAAGTCAGTCATTATTCAATTAACTAATTCTATCACTAAACTTGGCTTTTTGTTTTGAATTTCTCTTACTTTCCCAGATTTGAAAGTTGTTTACAGATACTAGAAATATTCAGAGTAGTATATGCAGTTTATAACGTTACTAGCTCAGCACTGGTACTTACTCAACAATTAATAATGCCACCTGTCTATTAGTAACAATAAAAAGTAGCACACATTAAATCTTGCAAGATAACCAGAGGCCATCAAGTCATCCTCCTTAATACTACAAATTTTAGTAAATTTTATAAAATTATCCAGCTGATTTACAAGTTGGATTTAATATATTTACAACCTCCAAATATATTACAACATGATTATAAACTGCTCTGGGATTTTTTTATACTCAAAAAAGGTCAGCTTGTACTACAATGTAAAATTTAGAGCCCTTATTGAAATATGTCTTCCAGAAAGCTGTGAGGAAGTTTTATGCAACCATTAAATATATAAACACTTGTAAAGGACAGTGTATCTATATATATATACATATGTATATATGTGTATATGTGTGTGTATTCATATTTACATAAAGCATGTGTGAATATACATTCTCATATTTATCTGTACATATGTCTGCCCCTGCATCTGGAAGAATATATTTGTGTTTGTAGAGAGTTGGTCCAGTGTTCATATCCAAATGCAAATTTTGACTCTTAGAAGCATATTTTCATATTTGTATCTCTTCCTTTCTCAGTAGTTTTGCCAGTTGGTGTATTTCTTTGCTTATTTCCACTTTTTCTTCCTCTGCAGCATCCCCCATGAAGTGGCGCTGAAAGATCACGATAGCACAGTTCCATGATGTGAAATACCACAAGTCTGCAATTTTTCGGTCTTGAGAGTGTCGCTGGGCTGAGAGGATGGAAATCTTTCAGTAATTATACCAGTTTGTATTCGTCTCACATTTGGGACCAAATACAAATCCGATCCACTCTTTCTCCCTGTGAATATTCATAAAAAACAAAGTGCCAATTCTGGTCTAATCATGTATGGAACCAAATATGTTGATGAGTCCTAAGTATATACTGTATGTATGTATACATATGAATATATATATTTGTACACACTAATTTTGCTTGTGTCCTCCTCTGTGCAATTTGTTTGTTTAGTATAGGGGTTGCTGTTATAATGTGTTAATAAGCTGCTGAAAGCTTGGCACCTATTACTTGAAATGACAGCTATGTTAGAAGCCTATTAACACTCCATAGCAGCAGCTCTGCAGCTACTAGAAATGAATTTCAAAGAAGGTAAATGAACAAAAGCGATTCATATCTCTAAGGAAAGCAAATACCATGCCTAGAACCATATATACTTTGGAAATGTACAGTGTATAAAATGAAAAACCTCTTCCAGTTAAAGAAACAGCGGAAGGGAATATTTGGGGAAAGGAAGACTGCCTAAAAGATTTCCAAACAACCTTGAAGATGTAAATGTAAAGGATACCAAACATAACTTCCTCTCTTTGTTTCTATTGTATTTAAACCAGATCCATGTCAAACTTATAAGAACAGAATATAGTACAGGTAGAGGAAATTCACTTTTCATGAGCAAAAGTTAAATCATCTGGATTTAGCTCAAACTTCTTTTTCTTCATTTCTGAGCTTAGAAGGACACCCTTTGCTATTGTTCTCGGAAGCAGGGCTCTTTATGAGTCAGCTTGCTCTGCTTTTGAACTACTTTACTTACTTTTGACTGTCATTGGAATTTGCAAGATGGTTGAAAGTCCTGGGTAAACCTTAACCATGATAATAAAAATGTGGTAAGTTAAGTTCAGCGTAGGTGTTTTTCTTTCTCTCTTTTGTGATACAGTATGTGTGGGGGCGTGTATATGGCAAGGTGGGGGGTGGGTTATATGCTGAGAGTACAGTTCCATAATTCTAGGTTAAATTAAAATTTAACTGTATTAACTTTTTAAGGCCCTTACTTTTGAAATCAGCTGTAATGAAAAACAAACACTTTTGCATTTCAACTTATGCACAGAAATTAAAAATTGCTTTCAGAGTTTGTGTAAAACTAGCAGTGAAAAGTTATAATAGGCAGTTTCATCTGTAGAATAATTTATATTACCGCTTTAATATCAGGACAGTAACACGTAGTAGCATTATCTTTGCATTCACAGTACCATAATATCTATTATATAGAATGTGTTTTATATACCATGCTAGTCATGATATTTCTGTGAATGGCTACTATGACTTCTAAAAAGAAAAGCTTGAAAGGTCTTGGAAGAGAAAGAAAACAGGTGTAGACTCTAAAAATCTGTATAAATATAAGCCAAACACTCTTTGTGTACATGCATGTGTGCATACACTAATAAGGCTTTACAAATTAGATTGGGATAGGTTGTCGTGGAGGAGGAAAGAGGTGAAAATAAAGGCAATCCTCTTATCACTGAGACTCAATACAAAATGTGTTTTGAACATTGTTTAAATGAAACTCCAATTTCCCAGGTAAGCTGACACTACCCTTGCCCTTTGGGACACTAACTAGAAATGCTCTTAGGTGAAATCCTGTCCACCAAAACTTAGCTTCCCCAGCCCTTCTGTACACTAATAGTACATTGACAATTGATGCTCATTATGAATTTAAAGGTACTCAAATGAGGTAATTTTGTGTTTGTTGAATCACTAACAGTTTAATTATGCTCAGTATTGTTTGTACAAAATGATTTTTAAAAATGGATTCTAACATTTTAAAAATGGATTCTAACATCTTAAAAATGTGTAACCCATTGTATGTATGATATAGATAGTAACTCTATTATTCAGAGTAGTTGATTAACTCAAATGCCCTACTTCATATCTAGCAGAGAACAGGCTAAATTTAAATTAAGCAGCATTTTATTAGAATTTTTGAAGACTTGTATTGAGAAATGCCAATTACCAGTTGTTTGTGAGTTGCCAAAATATTATAATGTTCTGAATTTACGGAATGGAATATGATCATTCAAACAATAAAGCAACAAAACCAAAACTATATAACATTAGTATTCCCTAAATTGGTAAACATTAATTTTATTTCCTTGCTCTTAAAAGATTAAAATCAAATAATTATTTTAATTTAAAACATAACGTATATATGGAATAATTCATGAAGCAAAAATGTGTAGTTCAATAACTTCCCATGAAAAAGAATCACCCAAGTGGCCACCACTTGCCAGCATCTTAGAATATTTTTTCCAGTCACGGCCCACTCTTTCTTTTCCACTAAAGTAACCACCATCTTTGCTTTCTCGCTCTTCTTTATAGTTTTACAACCTAAACGTGAAATTTCATTTATCTGCTTTTTCAACTTACATAGATAGAATCATGCAGTGTGCATTCTTTCGTATCTGAGTATTAGTCTTCATGCCTCTACCTTTTCAACATCATTAGTTATTTTTAATGTTTTACAGTAATCATTATGGTTGTGTCTCATAATAGACTTTAGAGCAGTTTTAGCTTCACAGTAAACCTGAGAGGACGGTACAGATATTTCCCATTTACCCCTGGCCCCACACATGCATAGCCTCCCCAGTTACTATTATTTCCTACCAGAATAGTATATTTGTTACAGTTGATGGACCTAAATTGACACATTATTATCACTTGGAGTTCATAGTTTACATTAGGGTTCACTGTCAGTGTCGTGCATTCTAAGAGTGTGACAAATGTATACTGACTTGTATCCACCATTATAGTATCATACAGAGTATTTTCACTGCCTTAAAAATACTCTGTGCTCTGCCTATATCTCTCCTCCTTCCCTCATTCCTGACATCTCCTGATCTTTGACACCCCTGGCTCCATAGATTTGCCTTTTCCAGAATATCATATAGTTTGAATTATATAGTATGTGGGCTTTTCAGATTGGCTTCTTTTACTCAGTAATATGCATTTAAAGTTTCTCCATGTATTTTCAAGGCTTGATAGCTCATATTTTAGTGCCGAATAATATTCCATTGTCTAGATGTACCACAGGTCATCCATTCACCTACTGAAGGGCATGTTGGTTGCTTCCAAGTTTGGGCGATTATGAATAACGTTGCTATCAACGTTTGTGTGCAGGTTTTTGTGGACCTATATCTTCAACCATCTGGGTAAATACCAAGGAGCACTATTGTTGGATCATATGGTAAAATTGTGTTTAGTTTTCCAAAAAACTGCCAAACTGTCTTCCAAAGTGTCTACACCATTTTGCATTTCCACCAGCAACTGTATTGTTCCACGTCCTCACTAGCATTTGGTGTTATCAGTGTTCCAGATTTTGGCCATTCTAATAGGTGTGTAGTGGTATCTTATTGTTTTAGTTTACACTTCTATGATGACATACGATGTGGAGCATCTTTTCATATGCTTATTTGCCATCTGGATGTCTTCTCTGGTGAGGTGTCAAATTCTTTGGCTCATTTGTTAATCAGGCTGTTTGTTTTCTTGTCGTTGAGTTTTAAGAAACCTTTGTATAATTTGGATTAATAGTCCTTTATCAGATAGGTCTTTTGCAAATATTTTCTCTTAGTCTGTGGCTTGTGTTTTTATTCTTTGACAGTGTCCAAAAATTTTTAATTTTAATGAAGTCCAGTTTATCAATTATTTTATAGATTGTACCTTTGGTATCATATCTAAAAAGTCATCACCAGTCCCAAGGTCATCTAGATTTTATCCTATGTTACTTTCTGGGAATTTTTACTAGGAATTTTATAAATTTGTATTTTACATTTAGGTCTGTAATCTCTTTGGTAACCCCCCACTTTTTTTTTTTTTGCATCTGCATACAGATGTTCAGTTCCAGCAACATTTATTGAAAAGACTGTCTTTTCTCCATAGTATTGCCTTTGACCCTGCATCAAAGATCAGTTGACTCTTCACTGTGGCTTTAATTTTCTTTTCCCTTATTACTAATGGACTTGAACACCCTTTCATATGTTTACTGCCTATCTTTAATAAGTAGCTATCTTTTTCTTATTGATTTGTCAAAGTTTTACATTTTTAAAATGTCCATGTGAAGGAGTCCTTTATGAGTTACATATGTTTCAGATATTCCACTGTGTGGTTTGTATTTTAACCCTCTTATCAGTGTATTGTGATGAACAGATGATTTATTCAAAATTTTATTGTTTGCTTAGTTTTAAGTTGAATTTTTCTAGAAATTTTAATCTAGATTTTTAAATTTATTGGTGTAACATTAACATCTGCAGGATCTAGAGTGATGTTTCTTTTTCACATTGATATTGGTTACTAACGAATTTTTTAAAAATTTTGTCAGTTTTATCAGGAATTTAACTTTGTTAATCTTTATAAATTTAAATTAGTTTGATTTTGTTGATGTTATCTATTGAATACTTATTTTTAAATTTCTTTATGTATTTCCATCTATCCTCTGTCTTAAATATCTATTCTTTTTCTAATTTTTAAAGATGCAAGCTTTGAGTTTTAGTCTTCCTTCTTTGTTGAATACATACATTTAAAGCTATAACCCCCTTGACAAATAATTTTAGCAGCATTCCACAAGTTTTAATAGGTCATATTTCCATTATTATTTAGTTTCACATGTTATCTAAAACTATTTAAATTTTTCTTTGATCCTTGCATTTAAAAGTATATTGCCTAATTTTCAAAAATATGGGGATTTACCAGTTATAGTTTTACTGATTTCTATCTTATTTCCATTGAGAACTGAAAATCATATAATATGAAGTCATATTATATATTATTTTGAAATTTTATGAAATTGTTTTATTGCCCAATATATGGTCAATTTGGAAAAAATGTAATATATCCTTAAGAATGTATATTCTGAAATTGGTGGCCACTTTGTTTCATATATTTCAATTACATTTCTTTTTGATCATATCATTAAATTTTTCTATGTAGCTTCCAAGTTTTTATATGTTTTATCACTTACTAAAAAAGATGTGTTAACTCTTTATTGAAATTGTTCATTTGTCTAATTCTTTAGTTCTGTCAATTTTTACTTTATGTATATTTGAGGGTATGTTAAATGCAATACATTTAGAATTATATCTTCCTGGTGAATTATATCTCATCATTATTAAGTGTTCCTTTTACCTCTAGCAATCCTTTTAGCTTTAAATTCTACTGTGAATAATATTAAAATGAGCTTTTGTTGTTTATTTCTAAAACTTTTGAATCCTTGTATTTTAGATAGATATCTGAAGCAATATTTACTTGGGTTTTATTATTTATAATTGTCTGGCAATCTTTTTGTCTTTAATTGAAGCATTCTATTTATGTTTAATTTATTGATTGATACATTTGGCTTAAGTCTACTATCTGTTCACCTGGTTTCTTCCATTTACTCTTTGTTCTTTTTTTTAAACCTTGCTTGTTTTCTATTAGAGTAATTATTTTTCATAATTTTACTTATTCTGTTAGGTTGGAAATTATATGTTCATTTACTGTCCTTTTGATTATACTAGAGCTAACAGCATGCATTCTTGACTTACATATGTTTAATACTAATTAGTACTCTTATCCTCTTGTAGAATGCAAAGACCTTACAATAATTTTATTTCATTTATCCCTACCTTCCTTTTAGAACAGACATGCATGCACACACACATACACATACATTCATAAAACAATTATTACTTTTGTGCAGTCAATATTGGTTAATATTTACTCTAATGTTTACACAGTTTGTTGGTTTTCACTCTTTTTTAAATTTCTAGTCTTCTATCGGAGACATTCTCGGGGGAGAGTTAGTAATGCATATTATTAACTATAATCAAAAGTGAAAGTACTTTCCATACATTTGTCCTAAATCTTTCCCAGTCTAACATGAATTTGAGTATTTTGTTGATTACAGTAGTTATTTATATAAAGTAAGCTGGAGCATGTAAGTTATTTTACATCTTGTTGATCTAAGTCTTACCATGACCTGTGTCTTAGGTTGGGTTCCTCAGAGGCAGATTCTCTGATGAGGATTCTTGTGAAAGTGATTTATTTAGGAAGTGTTCCTGGGAAAAACTGGTAGGGACTTAGAAGAGAAGGATACAAGATCTAAGAATGGTAACTTTGGCTCCGCCACACAAAGGTGCTCTGAGGACCACGTGGGTCACAACTTAGAGGTATTCCAATCAGTGGCAAAAGAAGTTAAGATTATTTAGACCCCTGTACTGGCTAGTCATTGTTTAAGGGATGCCCCCAAAGTAACATAAAGCCCCCTACTCCCTGCCATCCATTTGTAGATGCAGAGGCTGGGTATTTGCAATACAAGCACACTGGGAACTAGTATACTTCATGAGAAACCCGACGGGATATAGGCAGACAAATGACTGTGTCTGTTACAATCTATATGACCCTGCCTTGATCAACGTTCATGGATACAATTCAGGGTATCCAGGAACTTCAATGGGAAGAAAAAAATATGTTTTTGCTGACATCTAATGAAATTTAGCATTTTTCAAAATTATGAAAGTCATAATACTACAGTACCTGTAAAGTATGTGTTCCTAAATAGCACAGGGCTTAGCATGTAGTAAATTACTCAATATATTTCATTTTTGAAAAATGTATGAAAAAGCACTGAAATTAGCTACAAATTAATATCTGTTCTAGCCATATTTCCAAAGTAAACATCCTAGAATTTGACTAGAAAGTGAACATGTTGCTACAATCTCTGCATTCACTACACTGCAAATAGTAACCATTTTAGAAGTATAAAAATGACCTGCTTCACTAGTCAAAGATATGAGGAGGATTAATTCTAGTAGATAGCCCCTGCCCAAAGTTTTGACTAATGTTAAAAAAACAGCAACCAAAAACTCAATTAATAATGGACATTTTTCTAAAATCCATATCTATAAAAGGAAAGGGTGTTTCCCAAAGCAAAATCGGGCAGGTATGTTGTCCAGAACCAGAGAGTTTAAAAAATAATCTGAAATTTCCTTGTCTCAGATGAAATAAATCTGTAACCAAGAATCAGAGATAATGAATCCTTTTGAGTCTTATTTTAATATTACTTGTGGAATATAGTTTTGTATCAGGAAAGCTATCTTGGATCCCACCTAAGGAAATTTCAATACTGAAGAGCCCAACAATAACATTACAGGCCAGTCAGGTAGTTGTGGTGGTTTGGCTCCATGGGAAACCTACATAAATAGACTATAATGTATATTGGTTTATCCTATTTCCTTCCTGGTACTCAATATTCTCACCCAACCTAAGAAAACTTTTTTTTTTCTTTTTCTTTTTTTTTTTTAAAGGAAAAAAAAAAAAAGCTGTGTCCAGCTTTATGGTCTTCTGAATATTGTGGAAAGCTTCAGAGAGTCCTGTGAAGACCTTTCCCTACTGACTGTTGCCTCAAGTTCATTTTTATGTGGGGCTAAAATATACCTTCTTCTTAGAAAGACTGTTCAACTCCAATTATTTCCTGAATTTAATAACTAAATCTCAATTACATTCCTAGCAGCCTCATTTCTTCCTGGGCTTTGTGCATTCTTTCGGCCAGAAGCTCCCTTGTATATCAAAGGCAGCTCCTTGTAGAGAAAGGGGACGTGAAGGGGCACAGGAGCCCGGAACCTGACCCCATGTTACTGCCTGTGCTTGAGAAAGCAGAGAAGTTAAAAACACTCACTAAATAATTCCCTTTAAATCAGAAGAAAAATGATTTTTTACAGTTAACAGTTAGATGCATGATGATTAATGTTTTCAACCTTGAGGGCAAACTCTGCCTGTTTAGTATAAATTTTTTATTTCTGTGTTTCAAGTGAAAAATATCCTGGGGTCCTTTTGAATTTCAAACAATTAGTCCAAATTCAAAATGTATTAGGTTAATTGTATATTTTAAATTTAATTTTAATATTCTTTGACTCTGAAATTGATAAGCTAGCATTTATTTGCTCTGGAAATCTTTCAAAGTTTATGACAATCTTTTATCCTTTTTAAGTAGTATTAATGCTTAATGATAAAAGCCTGGCCTAAGGAGGAGATAACATTTAAGAACTATATGAACCCATGGGGCCAGAGCATCAACCACCTATCTGGTCTATTCCCTTCCCATGAGTATGTATTGTGTATTATGGAATTTAGTGTGGGGCTTCCTCCTCTGGGGGACAGTTGACTTAGACATAAGTGGTAGACTAGGCAGAGGTGAATGTCATCATTAGCTGTACCACTGGATTTCACAGAAAGACAAAGGGACCAATTTATATGGTCTTTGTATGAAGGAATAAGAGGTAACTGCCTATTTTTGTCCATACGAACATAAGAGAAAAACCTCAGTTAGGATCCCTGCTCATCTGTTTATACTCTGGGCAAGTATAAATTTCCTCAGATGTTAAATATAGAAGGTAAAATCTACCTTAATAAGTGGACATAATAAAAACAACTCAAAGCTTCTGGAAGGTAAATAACCTTAGGGAGGTACAGCTGTGTATAGGAAATGTTATGTGTCTTTTATCTTAGATTTTTAAAATTTTTTATAGCAAGAAATAGTGAAATTATAGGATTACTTTGAGGTTTTTAGTGTTCTCAATTTAAAAAAATCAGTAGAGGTCCTTTTTGGAAAGAAATCTTCCATGAAACTTCAGTACATAAACAGATGAAAGTGGAGCCACTCTGCTTAAGTGAAAGTGAGAATGCAAAGCCCCAGCACCTTGGTTTTCTCTTCCCTCCTCAGTGACCCCCCACCCCACCCCAGGCATCTCTAAGAGGCTCTGGGCTCCAGGGAATAGTGATTGAAGCCACTTCAATAGGGGTTAGTGTGGACCATAAAAGTAAAGAGCCTAGAACTGTGCCAGTTGTGCAGCATTTTCTCAAGTAATGCTAACTATTAACGTTATTGTCACTGGTTGTTCTTCAACTTTATTCTGGAAGAGTGGGATCATTTATCAGAGTAAAAATGAAATAGCGTTTTCTTTCCTAAAAAAGCATTTATCAATTCAGTTTCTGTCATGGAATCAGTAGTCCATGCTGCTAATCAAGATATTCTGTGTTGAGCCTGAACTGGCTAGTCAGCTAGTGTTGGTGGCTAAGGATTACACGGATTCACTTTTTCTGATCCAAACTATGCAGGTATGGGGGCAGCTGTAGGGGAGTCAGCCCAGATTTTCTCAGGCTTGCTCATTTAGTTTTAGTGGGACTACCTGATTGCCCATTTTAAAAGCTCAGCCTTGTCTAGTTTTTTAAGATCAAACTTGACTTTTGGCAGGAGGAATGAAGAAGCTCTAGCTTAGCACTTGGGGATTCAGCATTGAAATTCTAACTCCTTGCCTGTCTGAACCTTTTGACTACATTTTGAAAACCAGGCTTCCAGGTATAACGGAGTTGACTTATACCAGCTCATGAGAGCCAATTGTTAATTTCTCAGGAATTCCAGCTAGATGATGTCACATAAGTAGCTTACAGTCAGCCACGTTGAGAGCATTTATACTGCGGAAACTCACAGACCCTGAAAATCGGATCTTTCCCCTGGAGCATACCACTAGCTTAGGAACTAGCCACCAATTTATGCTCCACTTCTTATGACTAGATCTCCATTATTCCCTAGACCTGAGTTCCTGTGGTGATATTGTAAAAATATTTATACGCTTCGTTCTCCTCAGACTTTCTCTCCAATGTCAGGAGTTTGATTTTGTATCTTACCTCTAGGCTGGGCCCCTTTTCCCTATTACCTGCTCATAGATCTCTCCCAGTGCTTATCTAGCTAAGATGATAAATACATCACCATTACCTAGATTGTCTTATCTCGTTGATTATAGGTCTTGAACCATCATCCTGTATTCTGCATTAGGTTATGTAAGACTCCTGAATGCCTGTTTAAATGCTCATTTATTGAATTTCCCTTCACCAGATGTGTATTGTCTCAAAGTCTGCAATTCATTCCCTTCATTTTGTGGTTCCTAGTTTGCTTTATCCTCTTACTAATGTCTTTTGTTCTGTCCCAATTAACTGAAATAACTCAATAGTCTTTCAAAAGTTGTGAATACACCCCTCCTAGAAATCTTTTTCCATATTATTAGGCTTTAAATTATTTAAATGTAATTTGTTAGCAGCTTTAATTTTAAAACCTAATTTAGGGTTTTAATAAATAATAACATTTAATATCCATAATGAAGTTTCACCATATATAAAGTATTTAATTTCTTAACACAGCATCTATATTTTCTCATAAAATAACTAACATTAATTGTTGCCGTCCATGTCCCAAACATTGTTCCATGTGCTTCACATGCATTAATTCACTTAGTCCTACAGAATTCCTGTGAGACATGTACTCCTACCAGCACCATGACTGTTTAAAGATGCCATGCCAATGTCAGGAAGTTACCCTATATGGTCTATAAAGGGGAGGCATAAATAATCCAAACCTTGTTTAGCATATAATCAAGAAATAACCATAAAAATGGGCAAACAGCAGCCCTCAAGGCTGCTCCATCTATGGAGTAGCCGTTATTTATTCCTTTGCTTTCTTAATAAACTTGCTTTCACTTTACTCTGTGGACTCACCCTGAATTCTTTCTTGGGGAAGATTTAAGAACCCTCTCTTGGGGTATGGATCGGGGGGACCCCTTTCTGGTAACATTGCTTCGATTTTAGCAGAATTCATGTTTTTCTGATAGGGACTCTTTTCAAACTGATGTCTTAGCCTTCTCAATGCCTCAAGCTAGATCTTGTTCAGACATGTTTTAACAAGTTAATATGAGTTTATTTTGATGTAAAAAATTTTGAAATCCATGCATAGTTTTTTCATAATACACATTTTCCATAAAATTTTGACTCCTTGTATATAACATATAGACATGTTTTATTATAATGCTTGCACAATTTGGTAAAACTGAGGTTCTAGAGTATTATTAAGGATATAATAATTCTGAAAAAGTTTCTTTAATGATATCTTGCCATTTACCTTCAGAAAACAACACCAAATCCTATCTATTCAGGTCATGAGATTTGGCATATTGAGTAGAAAATGATAAAATTGAATTGCAACATACAAGGATGAAGAGGAAATATGTAGTTCTTAATCTTTAAGTCTAGAGTATTTTCTGGAAAGCTCACAGGAAAAATGACTGGACATATTGAAAGACCTCAGGAATCATCTGTGTTAAATTGTTTTTCCTCCAGTTGCTTCCTATAAACCTTGTAATTTAAGAATGACTCTACAGAGGGTCAGGCCACCATTCTAGCAAAGAACAGAGTGATTCACTGAATAGCCCTGATTTCAATTCTTAGTGTGGAATCAATTCTGAGTAGAATCGGAAAAAGCAGAAAAGGGTGGAAAGTAAAGGAACATTTGTAAATGTCAGTTCATGTTGTAGGGGTTGTATCTTCCTTGGGGTTCTCATCACAATTGCCCATCAATTGAATTTGTAGAAAAAAACATGTGACGCCCATGGGAACACATTAGACAGGCAACTGGAACCTCTAAAATGTGGTTTTCACTTTGGATCCTCTAAGCAGGAGACAGACCTAGAATAATGAGCCTGGCCTGCTTTAGGATGGATGCCACCTTTGTCACAAGTTAACTTACAGGTTAACATAATTTATCTTCTGTTATTGCCGGAAAATTGTGGAAAGGGATCTGTTGCTGCTTCTCCTATGATACTATTTAAAAAGTAAATGGTTGGACCTCTGAGATCTGTACTTAGATCTGTTCTGCCTATCCCTACAGATACTACTATCATCAGTTTCCAGGTGAAGAAACTGAGGCTCAGAGAGTGTAAATGATGTGAGCCTATAGCTAATAAATGGTGGATCTGAACTACCAACAAGGTCTACAAACCAAGTAGGTGGTTCCTAGTGTTAGAGGAGCCTTTCAGGTCATGTTTGTCATATTTTTATGAGTAAAAAATAAATGTCTGTGATATCAATTTCAGTGGAATCAAATGTGAATGGGGGAAAGACCTTGCCAAGCAATTGTGGCACAGACAAATAATTTGTGTTTTTCCTTTTTGTCTTTGGTTGGCACTTTCTCTTTGTTGCTCTCCTACCTAGTTCCCAGGACCACTACCTGTCTTCTAGATGCACAAGGCCTTCTGCTTTGATATTCTACCTGTTTTACTCAGCACCTACCAGAAACCCTCCCCCATCTGTGCTTTGACTTTCTCTTCCCTTCATATGATAATGTACTACTCCTCTTTCCTTGACTCTTAAAACCCCAAATCCTGGTGTGTGATGGTCTGATAAGCCAACTCTTGCTGCTGTCTATCTAAGAAAGTATGAAGCAATATCTTAACCAAGTCAAATTCAACATTTTTAAAGAAAGTACTTCTAGGGCTGGAGTACTACCTGATAGGAGTTCCATTTCCAGCCGAGGATGCTTTGGTGTGTTTAAGTCAAATAGGTAGAGGCCTAACCCACTTATATATAAAGCCAGCCCTGAACATTGGCATTTATTTAAATACCATTTAGGGACACTCAAGTCTTCAATACTGCACACACAGATTCAAATCAAACACACGCACTGACATTTCCCCACTCCTTCCCTAGATGCTCATAATCTTTAAGGCCAAGCTGATGTCGGGAGAACCCCAGAGAATGGAGATGTTCCTATGGGAGTTTGCCTAATGGAGCCACTGGCATTTCTTAGTCAGCCAGAGGAGTGCTGAAAGTGATGCCTTTACAAAGTCTCCAGGGATTTTAGTTAGCATGGAACTCAGTATAGCAGTCTGCTCAGACCAGATCCAAACTACGTAAGAAATAGTGTATGGAAGACTGGACTCTCTTTCATCTCCCAGCTGCAAATTGGTATCTGCTATGCAAGGGGCATTACAAAATTACAAAATCAAGAATAACTGCTACCACTAATATTTAGCATCAAAAAAAATTTTCACATGCCTGCCCTCTTTTGATCCCCAGAAATATTTTTTTCTTTTCTTTTTTTTTTTTTTTTTTTTTTAGATCTAAAATTTTGATGAGGCTTAGAGGTACTGGCACTTTTTTTTTTTTTTTACTGGGACTTTTCCAAGGCCACCTAGCTGGAGGTTGACAGAATATTTTGTTGAGATTTTAACTTGTGTTTTGTTCTCATTTTTCCAACCCCACCTTGAGGTGGTAACCTCACCTTTTTGTTCTGGGACCCTTTGTGATGGAGTTAAAATAAAAATAACCCAAGGACAGGTTCCTTTTCTGCTTTGTTTTCTAACCTGAACTCTTTGAGGGGATTATCCCAAGGAAATGGAGAGAAGTGAGAGCCTTGGAGGAAAAGGAAAGGGTGATTTCCCCATGAGGCAAAGCAGCAGTGGTTAGGGTACCTTGGGGTGGGTGCTTCCCCTTCTGCACAGGGCCTAAGGGTGGGAAGACAGGATTTCAAAGGGAAATGACTTAGGTGTGATTCACCTAAGAAGGCTGGGCTACAGCTACCAAGGTACCAAATTCCACAAAGATATACTGCTGAAGAAGATAGACACAAGCCTGCCTCTCAGGGACCACATGGGCTTGAAGATAGTCAGTGGTGGTAATCACAGACCAGAAAGACCGCTGTAAATGTCTGCTTTGCATGAAATCACAGAATACTGATGTCATCCTGAAGTGGGGTGAGAGACCCTATAGTGACTGTGATTAGTTTGGTGGGACAGGACTACTGACAGTTTTAATATGGTCTGAAGACCTGAGTTTGTTGAGTAAAGTGTAAACCTATTGATCTGGGGAGTCTGGCACTGCAAATTTGGTTGTCTTTCTATAGCACTTGCTGCTCACAGAGTTTACATTTAGATGGAGAGTGGGAAAGATCCAGCAGTCATTGTTCTGTACGCCTGTAGCAAAAGAGAAATCCATGCCCTGTCTCTTATTAAATTACACAGGATTTAATTCTGTGGCCATGTATCGCATGGTGCTTCTGGATGGCTATATCACTCGGCTAGTATCAGAGGTCTGGGATGGCCATATGGGCAGGGCTGAATAAATGGATCTCAGGAAACATGAAGTTGATAGCTTTCTGTAGTGGGAGTAATGGCTTATAAAACACATTGGAGGGGACTGCAGGAATTGTTTAAGAATCAAATTGCTTATTAGATTTTCCAACTCCTTGAACAACTTCTAATATTTTCTAGACAGAGCCATCTACTTATCCCTTCTGCCTTTTGATGATGAAACATAACAATTTTATTGTTATATTGCTTCAGAGCTGAAAAATTTTCATGATTCTATGTTTCAGGAAAAATCTTTGATCCCCAACTTAAATTAAGCTGACGCTAAGAAATAGCCTACACATTTACATGTTGTATTTGGTCATTACACTAAAAAAAACAAAAAAGGGGGAGGGGTTAAGCAAAAAAAAAATCTCTTAATCCCTTATCTCCTCCATCTCTTCCTCCTTGTCTTCTCTTTTCAGTACGTAGACCTCAGAGAAACACAGAACCACAAATTACTGTGGGGTGAAACTCCTACTTAATAATGACATCCCTTAAGTTGGCAAAAATCTGCCAACATCTACAAGCTCCTCTAGAGTTGTGAGCCAAAGTTTAAAATCATGTGTGACAGTGTTGTGGAAAATACAGTTGATTCCAGTCTGATTGTGTCAGTTCCAAACAGAGACAATATTGATGATGCTGAACAGTAATCTTATTGGGCTTGGACCCAACTGAACACTGGTCTTTGTCAACTCATTATTCCTCTATCAGAGGGATCTCCACAGATTGATCTTGCCAGCACCTCTTGATATGTCTCACAAATCACTATTCTCCTGTTGGCAGGCAGATTTGAGTACTGCACAGTAATTGCTGGGGCTTGTTTCCCCTTTTTTCTGTCTCACTCCCTGCCAGAAGACAGTGATTACCTATTGCAAGTCATTGTCATATGAAAGACCAAAAAAGTCCTAACAAGATAGAGTAGGTAAGTGTACAGTCCTTGTTGATGCCAAGAGTTATGGCTATACCATCTGATGCTTTTGGATTGGCAAAATAAAGGATTAAAGCCTCTATTTTCCTTTGATGTTATTAATTTGAGGGGTCCCTGAACTTTTCAGAAGTCTGCAGCATTGCCTATAGGAAAGTTCTGCTCTGCAGTAGAAAGGTCTAGTTTGGATGATTAGCGTTGTCTCCTCATTTTTAGCAAGTTTATTCATTTATTTATTTATTTTGAGACGGAGTCGTGCTCTGTCGCCCAGACTGGAATTCAGTGGCCTGATCTCGGCTCACTGCAAGCTCCGCCTCCCGGGTTCATGCCATTCTCCTGCCTCAGCCTCCCGAGTAGCTGGGACTACAGGCGCCTGCCACCGCGCGGGCTAATTTTTTGTATTTTTAGTAGAGACGGGGTTTCACTGTGTTAGCCAGGATGGTCTCAATCTCCTGACCTCGTGATCCACCCGCCTTGATCTCCCAAAGTGCTGAGATTACAGGCATGAGCCACCATGCCGGGCCCATTTTTAGCAAGTTTAAAGTGTATTGTCTCATAAATAATGGTGAGTGGGAGGCACAAGACATTGCACATAACATTTTGGACTAAAGACACTGTCTTCTGTGATTTGAACTTCCCTTCCTCAGGGCTAATTTGACATTCCCTAGAGACATAAAAGCCTTCAGATATCAAAATGAATTCAGTATAAGATATCAAAATGTAAATGGATTTCAGGTGAATTAGTCAGGATAAAGTCAAGTCTTTATTATGGTGCTAGTGTTAGTTTTCTTCCTGGACGAGATCCTTTGCCAGGCAGCATGTATTTTTGTCTTTGTTGGATTACCTGGCTAATTGGAAGGGAGCAGCACCAAGGATAATCCAGTATCATGTGGCTTCACAATGTATGTTCTGTGAATTTGTAGCACTTTTAGCAAGTTAAGTTCTTAACTTCTAAGCGGTCATTGCAGAAAGGGCCAAAACCCTATGGCATCAGTGGTTTAAACAGCAGGGGCTACTTGCCTGGTATTTCCACATATGGGAAATGGACATTGAGGCCTCTGGCTGAGACTCCTTCTTTCCTTCTGATTCTCTTTAGCTCTTTAGCTTTTCCCACTCAGACCAGTATCCTATGAAGAATTACAATGGCTGAAATAAGTGATCTTCAGTAAAAAGAGGTCATCTACGAGCTTAATACAAGTGAAAATCACGTGCAAAAAAATTGTATATGTGTCTTGGAAGTTTCTGATAATAATGCTTGTGAAACTAGTAGAATCTTAGATATTGTGACTTCCTTCTTGCTTTCTGTTGCTTCTGAAGTGAGCAGTGTGTTCTTGGCAGGAGCCAAGCCTGAACAACAAACTCCATCAGGAAGCCATTTGATGATGCACTGATGTCAGTCAGAGAAGCTGAAAGTTGTGCAACCTCTCTACTGTACTCCTTAAATGCTGAGTCACTCCCTCCACCTGACTCTATCCCAAGGATAATAGGTTCACATGATGAATCAGCCAAAATAGAACTCACTGCTGCTGCCTTGATTTGACTATATTTAGTTGTCACACATTTCCTGGGTTGGTGAAGGTAGTTGACTGAGTTTTGAAGGGCCTCCTGCTGGGTGGCAGGCTGCATGGGAAGGCAAAAATAAACAAAAGATAGTTAGCTGTACCCACATATATCAAGCTCAATTATCCCAGCAGAACTTGAAAACAAGATTTATAGCAGAAGATTGACAGTGCAGATAATGGAGAGCTGACTGTTCAAAATCTGTTTGACACCATGATCAGAGTGTTGCCAGAGGTGGGTACCAAGGCAACATCTCACTATCTCCTCCCCCTCCTTCAGGAACACTTTATGTGGGTGAAAACAGCACAACTTGGTCATCATGGTCAGCCTTGAAGACACACTGAGTGACCCAGTAGGAAGATGAGGGGGTCATCTCAAGGATTTCTGGTTAATCTTGGTTTTTTAGGTGAGAGTATTCCTGAGCTGATTGGATTTGTGAAGGGGAGCCTGATTGAGAAATTGTGTTTTATTTTTTATTATTGACTCAACATGAAAGAGCAAAATACCTTTCTGTCTTCAAAAATTGGCAGACATTGTCACATCAAGGAAGTTTGATCATTGTAAACAGCGATCACTATAATTATGGGAATATATTGTATGACAGTGTTCAGTGGTTTGAATGTTCAAGAAATAATCATGTATCATCACTAAAAGAAAACCAGAAAGTAAATGAAGGTTTTACTTAGTAAAAACAAAAAGTTCATACCTAAAAATACTGTTTCTTTTTTCTCGTGTTATTTTATTTTGAAGAGTTGTTTATTATATTGTTTCTGGTAATTTCTCATGCTTTCTTTGGAACGTCTACCATAAATGAGTAATATATATTTACATAGAATTTTTCAAGCTGAGAAAATCTGGGATCAGGGGAAGCAAGGGAGGGGTCTTAGTACCATTCTCTTAGGCATGGTATTTATTGTTATTATGACCACAGGTGCAGTTGAAGCTGTTGGATGACTTAGCAGTTGCTCCTGGCCTTCAAAGTTCTAAGAAATAGGATACAGGAGACTTCTCACACTTAAATAAATTTAAGCCTATCTTTAATCCTACTCCAAGGTGACTATTTTAAATAGGAAACTGAATAATAATACACAAAGATTCTATAGTTTTCAAAATACTCAATTCAGAAAGCACTGCTAGATACATTTCTTGAATTCACCAAAATGAGTAGTCTCTCAGTCCCCTCTTTCCAGATACAAGATGTCCTGTAGCTGTTTTGCCCAAATACCAAAAAAGATGCCACAGAATTATTTGAGGCCTACACTCCTTATATCAAGAATCAGGGCCAGCTTCATTGATAAAATGTCACCTGTACAGTCACACAGGGCCATGTGTTTGCTTAATCTCTGCTGCTGCCACCTTGAAATTCTTAAACTTCTGAGCAAAGTGTCCCACACTTTTATTTTGTAAAGCGCCCCACACACTGTGTAGTCAGTCCTGTCAGGAACCTCTGATTTGCTATCACATTAACTCTCTCTATTCCTACTTCTGTCTCTTATGGTAGAGATTTGTAGGTGGACACATAGATGAGGAGTTGTTTGCCTCTTAGGTATGTCTCATGGCACGGTCTTATGTCCAGCACCCAGATAAACACAGCATCATATTCCAGTCACCTACATAGGGCCATTAAGCCCTCCCCAATGCTGTTGGTAAGAATCTTCCAGCCGGGCATGGTGGCTCACGCCTGTAATCCCTGCACTCTGGAAGGCCAAGGCTCGTGGATCACCTGAGGTCAGGAGGTCAAGACCAGCCAGACCAACGTGGTAAAACCAATGTCTACTAAAAATACAAAAATTAGCCGGATGTCGTGGCACATCCCTGTCATCCCAGCTACTCGGGAGGCTGAGACAGGAGAATCACTTGAACCTGGGGGGCGGAGGTGGCACTGAGCCGAGATCACACCACTGTACTCCAGCCTGTGTGACAGAGCGAGACTCTGTCTCAAAAAAAATTAAAAAAAAAAAAATTCTTCCAATAGGACCAGTCAACTTCCTCATCCTTTAATGTAACAATAATTACATCTCATTTTAAGTTAGACTTTCTTTTAGTATGTTAAATATCTTACAAAAAATAAAGGATAGTGCCTCTTCTTCCTTAAACTATAAAACAAAATAAATCAGAAGCCTCATAAAAGCATGCCTTAAATACAGCAGGGAAGAACATTGCCAGAGCAAATAGCCACCTGATACCAAAGTGCCAGTTCTAATTTTTAAATCCTGTCTACCACAGTGCCACTTGCAGATGTTTAAGAAAAATTATTTCAACTCTAATAATACTTGGCAATATGACTGTCAAAACTCAATTCCTAAGGGAACATACCCAGGATGCTTTTGATAGTTACCAGTCTGTAAGATTGGCGTTCTGTCCTGGCTGTCTTCGGCCAAAGGAGTTGTCGTTTGGAGTTCTCCTCCAACATTCCTATCTGCGGTGGTGTGCAGCAGCTCACTGCTGAGGCTCCAAACAATTACTGTTCCTGCTTTGCAAATATTTGCATGATTAATTTTTCCTGATGTGTGTATTTCCAACCATGAGTACAAACAGCTTTTCATTTCAAACAAGTGAGGAGGCACCCTGAGGGGCAAGATCATACATTTTTATGAAGTTGCTGCTGTGGAAACTTATAATTTTTATAGAGAATTTCACTGTTTCTGGGGCAAAATGAAAATTTAATACCTGTAAAAAGTACCTTTCATTTTCATAAAATAAAGTGACAGCAAGAATAAAATATATTGAGAGTCTTACAATCTTGGGAAGTGGTGGTACCCTGTTCTCTTTACATTTCCATAGCACCTTTCCTTACAGTAGGAAGTGCTTATTATTTTGAGATTTGTGTGTACTTCTGTTCCTACAAGGGAGAAACCTTGGGAGCTTTCCAAGTTATAAACATAATAAATCAAGGAAATAAAGCCTAGGTTATTAAACACTTTGAGAAAAATTCCCTGATGTGAGAAACCAATGTCAAATTTCCGTGATAATGGGGAAATCATAAAGACTTAGAAAGCATTTGCTTTTTTAATAACAAAGGAAGAAAATTTTCCATTTGCCAGGTTCTAGTACAACAAATTTGTCATTTGAGTTTATATTTTCAGTCATCAATAGAATTTAATAGTCTGTGAACTTTTAATCCAAGAATTGTTGACCATCTAATTCATTTTGGAGTTTTAACCTGGATGATCCATCTAAATGTGTAGAGACAGTATTTTCCAAGGTGCAGTCCTTACGTACCACCTTCTAGAGGAACTGGATGATTTTAGGTGCTACAAGGATGATCATTTTTTTGTTTTAACTATGCACATATCTTAATGAGTAGTTGAAAATATGTGTATATGTTCATGTGTAATCTCAACTAGCACATCAGCCTCAAGTTTTAGTAAATCCTCTTATCACTACTTTAAAGGTATCCAAATATCATACCAACTCACCATCTTTACACTATACTCGTAACTCATCAACCATCATGTTGCTGATAAATTAGGAACATGGTCTCCTAACTGACCTCTGTGCTTCTACCATTGCTTCCCTAAAATTGGTCTTCCTTACAGAAATGAGAAGGTTTAAAAAACAAAGTTAAGATGGAGTCATTCCTCTGTTCACGATCCCTCCAGTGGTGTTCTGTCTCACTCATCATTAAAGCCAATGTCCCTGCCAGGGTCCACAAGCCCTGCCTGGTCTTTCCTTGGATGTTCATTTGACCTCCTGCTCCCTTTCTCATCTCCTGCCACACTCTTCCTCTCTCCCTGCTCTACCTTCCTTACTGTCTCTTAATCACACCAAATACAAGATGGCTTCATGGCATTTGGAGTCACTTTTCTTCACTGCCCCCATCTGGAATTCTCTTTCCCAACTATGCACATAGCTCTCTACCTCACTTGATTCAAATCTCTGCTCAAATGTCACCTGATTTGGCTCCTTCCCTGATGCCTTCACTTTCTTTCTTTTTTAAAAAATTTTATGGGATACATGTACAGAATATGCAGGTTTGTTACACAGGTATACATGTGCCATGGTGGTTTGTTGCACCCATCAACCCATCATCTACATTAGGTATTTCTCCTAATGCTATCCCTCCCCTAGACCCCCATCCCCTGACTGGCCCCAGTGTGTGATATTCCCTTCCCTGTGTCCATGTGTTCTCATTGTTCAGCTCCCACTTATGAGTGAGAACATGTGGTGTTTTGTTTTCTGTTCCTTTGTTAGTTTGCTGAGAATGATGGTTTTCAGCTTCATCCATGTCCCTGCAAAGGACATGAACTCATCCTTTTTTATGGCTGCATAATATTCTATGGTATATATGTGCCACATTTTCTTTATCCAGTCTATTATTGATGAGCATGTGCGTTGGTTCGAAGTCTTTGCTATTGTGAACAGTGCTGCAACAAACATACGTGTGCATGTGTCCTTAGAGTAGAATGATTCATAATCCTTTGGGTATATACCCAGTAATCGGATTGCTGGGTCAAATGGTATTTCTGGTTCTAGATCCTTAAGGAATCGCCACACTGTCTTCCACAATGGTTGAACTAATTGACACTCCCACCAACAATGTAAAAGCATTCCTATTTCTCCACATCCTCTCTAGCATCTGTTGTTTCCTGACTTTTTAACGATCGCCATTCTAACTGGCATGAGATGGTATCTCATTATGGTTTTGATTTGCATTTCTCTAATTACCAGTGATGATGAGCTTTTTTTCATATGTTTGTTGGCCACATAAATTTCCTCTTTTGAGAAGTGTGTTCGTATCCTTTGGCCACTTTTTGATGGGGTCGTTTGTTTTTTTCTTGTACATTTGTTTAAGTTGTTTGTAGATTCTGGATATTAACCCTTTGTCAGATAGGTAGATTGCAAAAATATTTTTCCCATTCTGCAGGTTGCCTGTTCACTCTGATGATGGTTTCTTTTGTTGGGCAGAAGCTCTTTAGTTAATTATATCCTATTTGTCAATTTTGGCTACTGTTGCCATTGCTTTTGTTGTTTTAGTTATGAAGTGTTTGCCCATGCCTATGTCCTGAATGATACTGCCTAGGTTTTCTTCTAGGGTTTTTATGGTTTTAGGTCTTATGTTTAAGTCTAATCCATCTTGAGTTAGTTTTTGTATTATATTTAAGGAACGGGTCCAGTTTCAGTTTTCTGCATATGGCTATCCAGTTTTCCCAAAACCTTTTATTAAACAGGGAATCCTTTCCCCATTGTTTTTCTCAGGTTTGTCGAAGATCAAATGTCTGTAGATGTGTGGCATTATTTCTGAGGGCTCTGTTCTGTTCCATTGATCTATATATCTATTTTGGTACCAGTACCATGCTATTTTGGTTACTGTAGCCCAGTATCATCCTGATACCAATACCTGGCAGAAACACAACAACAAAAAAAATTTCAGGCCAATATCCCTGATGAACATCGATGTGAAAATCCTCAATAAAATACTGGCAAACCGAATCCAGCAGCACATCAAAAAGCTTATCTACCATGATCAAGTTGGCTTCATCCCTGGGATGCAAGGCTGGTTCAATATATGCAAATCAATAAATGTAATCCATCACACGAACAGAACCAATGACAAAAATCACATGATTATCTCAATAGATGCAGAAAAGGCCTTCAATAAAATTCAACACCCCTTCATGCTAAAAACTCTCAATAAACTAGGCATTGATGGAATGTATCTCAAAATAATAGCCATTTATGATAAACCCACAGCCAATATAATGCCGAATGGGCAAAAACTGGAAGTATTCCCTTTGAAAACCAGCACAAGACAAGGATGCCCTCTCTTACCACTCCTATTCAACATAGTAATGGAAGTTCTGGCCAGGGCAATCAGGCAAGAGAAAGAAATAAAGAGTATTCAAATAGGAAGAGAGGAAGTCAAATTGTCTCTGTTTGCAGATGATATGATTGTATATTTAGAAAACCCCATCGTCTCGGCCCAAAATCTCCTTAAGCTGATAAGCAACTTCAGCAAAGCCTCAGGATACAAAATCAATGTGCAAAAATCACAAGCATTCCTATACACCAATAACAAACAGCCAAATCTTGAGTGAACTCCCATTCACAATTGCTACAAAGAGAATAAAATACCTAGGAATACAACTTACAAGGGATGTGAAGGACCTCTTCAAGGACAACTACAAACCACTGCTCAAGGAAATAAGAGAGGACACAAACAAATGGAAAAATATTCCATGCTCATGGATAGGAAGAATCAATATTGTGAAAATGACCATACTGCCTAAAGTAATTTATAGATTCAATGCTATCCCCATCAAGCTACCATTGACTTTCTTCACAGAATTAGAAAAACCTACTTTAAATTTAATGTGGAACCATAAAAGAGCCTGCATAGCCAAGACAATCCTAAGCAAAAAGAACAAAGCTGGAGGCATCATGCTACCTGATGCCTTCACTTTCTATCCCTTTCCCCTGCTTGGTGTTTCTCCATAGTAGTTATGCCCAGTGGTAGATTGAAGTAATGGATCCGATTAGTCATCCCATCCTGTACCCACACTCTATGCTATGTGATTTGTAATCTCCCGACTCCCATGACAAGCTCGGCCATGTGAACTTGGTTGGTCAATGGGATGTTGGCAGATGCAACACATGCACAGGCTTGAGAGCCTGTGCTTACTTTTGTTTGACTGTTACTCTTCTGCAATTTCCATGAAAATATGCTGGAGGATGAGAGTCACAGAGCAGGACTAAATCACCCCAGCCATCCCAGCCTATGCATCCTAGATCAGCAGTAGCCAGCTGACTTTTGGCTATATGAGCAAATTCAGCCGAGATCAGAAGAGCTGGACAGCCAAGCCCTAAATAAATGACCCACAGACTCATGGAGGAAATAAATGCTTATATTTTTAAGGCACTCAGTACAGGCATGCTTTGTTATGCTGCATTATTATGAAAAAATATAGCTGTTATATTCCTTTATGACATATATGCATTTTAAAACTTTGTCTATTCCAGATTATAAGTTCTCAAGAAGAAATGCTTGGTCAGGTATAGTAACTAGCAGATATTTTGGCCCATAGAAAATACTTATTAAATAAAACTTTGTCAAACTCAATGCATTTAATGGAAAATCATGCTTAAGTTAAGTGAAAGCAGGCAGTGCCATGGCAATCCACTGAGGCCATATGGACTGCAAGTGCAGTCATAAGATACTCCAGGATTTTGGGGATTTAGCAATCATGATGTTCCATTAGTGATAATGGTGGTAAACACTGTCTTGAGGTACTGGGGTACTATGTCCTGTCGTGCTTTACACCATCTAAATAGTTAAGCAGAAGTAGAGATTTGTAGATGGTTTTTATGGAACTTCCACTAACATTTACCATAACCCTAAAATATATCTGATAAGCAACTTGTACACAGGATCTCCCTAGTTTCCTAATTAACTCAGGAAGATGCTGTGTGCATTTCTGAGAATATTATCAATCACAGAGAACTTTTACTACTCCTCCCAAATATTATGGAATGGGTAGCCAGAAGTTAGTTGCTCTTTGGTCCATTGACATTCATTGTTGAATATGACTAGATATTGAGCACCTAGGATAATATCTAGCTTTGATCTAGGGACTGGGAATACAAAACTAAAACAGACATGGTTTGTTTATTTTAAAAATTAAGTGAGTCACACTTTCTGAAAAAGCACTCAAAACAATTAATAACAAGAACTAAGCTGGGGAATAGGGATTTCAAAAATAAAAATATCTCTCACCAGCTAGTCAGGAAACTGAAAGAGTCTGCTTTTATATCTCATTCATTGAAGTATTAGCCCCAAGACCCTCAGTCACTCACCATTGAACATTTATCTAATAATTTGTAATTTGTGGAAATGCTTGTGTCATTGTCAACAATGTATTCAGTTTTCAGAAATAAAGAAGATAATTGAAGATATCCAGATAGCACACTTAATTGCAACAACAGAGCTTAAATGCAAGACTTCCTTCATGAAATTTATAAGAGAGAAGAAGAAGTGACTTTCTTGATGTTTACCGCTATGATTGGGACTATTCTGTACCTGCTTTGCAGAACATAATTATTTAAGTTTATATGATGTTGATTATGGCCCCACATACATTTGTGCTAGATGATGAATTTGTATTTCATGTGATTGCCCAACTAATCCAGGTGTGCAAAGATGACTTGACCTCTTGTCACATACTCGGTCTCTCCCACATATATGTGTAGTGTGTATATAACTATAGTACATGAAACTCCCCTTTGACATTTCCCTTCCAGATTTTATTACTGTTTTAAAGATTTTACTAACTCAGAAATTTATTTTAGGCATTAAATAGAATGTTTTAAAGCCAAAAAAGGCTACTAAACTCTATGATTTATGTATTCCTTGAATGCCATAGAATGACCATATTACCAATAAAATATGTACCAAATAATTATATGTAAATCAGATTTATGTTTTATGAAATTCTCCCTTCTCGATTTTATTCATAACAAAGGTAGTAAATATTTTTTAATTTCAAGTGTCTTAGCTGCCTGGCAACTTTTTCCTTTCTGGAACTAGAATAAAACCACAATTTAAACCCTTAATGTTAACATGCATGGTGAATATCTATGAGGGAGATTGTATGTTTTCCAAATATATTTCAACTCAGAAGTTGTCCCTCTATGGTACATCTAACTGAATATTTTATAAAATGTGCTCTGGTAAATTCTACCTAATGTATACATATGTGGATCACAGCTTTGTGCCTGACCAGAAATAGTATTTCACCATTTGGTTAACTAACTAATTCACCATTTACTGAGCCCCTACTGTATTTCCAACTCTCTGCTGGGTTGAGGAGGTAGATCCAACATGGTCTTGATACTCTTTATAATTTATTTTTAGTAGATAGACTAGTTCTTAGTAGGTAGTACTGACCACAAGCAATGATAAAACCAAGAAATGAATTTAAATTTATAAATCAAATAGTAAAGATAATGAAATTTGTAATGGGGCAGTCACTGAACTCTATAACACATGGGTAGGCAGAAGCTGGAAATATTTCTCCATTTCTCATCTTTCTTCTCTTCTCTTTTCATTTCTTGCATTTCTCCTTTGACCATTATCTTTTCTCATTTCAAATTTGTGTGGTGATATATTGTCAAAGTGCATATATGTGTATCTTCTCACCATCTCTTAAATTGATATCTCATTAAGTATTGTACTGTTAACCTGGTTATCTTTACATGGCATTTTGCCAACTGGGCTCTGGGCTCGTTGGGGGCAGGCATTGTATTTTTCACTTCTTTGTAACCTTCAGGACACCTTACCTTGCACAAACCAGTTGTTTGGTAGTTCTTTGGTAATTTGACTTGATTAAGTTGTTAATTTCTGTCTACTAGTATTTCTTATGACAATGAAGATAACTATTCCCTTTGGTGGCCCTCAGGTAAATGTTGCTGCACTAACACAGGTAAATGTTGCTGCACTAACACAGAGAGTAGGATTCAGTTCCCACTGGGGAGGATCTATGTTTTTATTGATACATAATCTTTTACATACTCATGCAGTACATGTGATATCTTGTTACATGCATAGAATGTGTAAGTATTTATCATTTCTGTGTGTTGGGAACATTTCAAGTTCTCTCTTCTACACACTTTGAAATATACAATATATTGTGGCTAACCATAGTTACCATACTCTGCTATGGAACATTAGAACTTATAACTTTTATTTAACTGTATGTTTGTACCCATTGGCCAACCTCTCTTCATCTCTCCTTCAACCCACACACCTTTCGCAGCCTCTGGTAACTTATCACTTCACTCTCTACCTCCATGAGATCAACTTTTTTTTAGCTCTCATACAAGTGACAACTAATGCATTTCCAAACTGGCAGCCTGGCTGGAGAGAAGGTATTCTTTGAGCTTGAGCTGAGATGACATATTTGAACATATGTACTCCTCTCTATTTCTCAAGCATCTGTATCAAAGATTTTGCCATGATTTAAATCTGATTCAGGTGGTGAAGCATCTGGAAATCATGATGGCATTTACCGAACATCATAAATTGTTGACATATAAAGCTTAAAATTATGTAATGTACCATTTTGTGCTAAATCAGATGCCATCTTATGCTAGATTCTCCCATAGACGAAGAGTGGCAGATGCCAAATGTACAAGAAAAAACCACGAGAGCAATAGTTTAAATAAATATGACTTTTCAAATTAATGAATATGGGAAAATTTGCATTATTCTATCTTGGTTGTGAAACTTCTAAATACATCTATCAGAACCATGGTTTAAATAGCCTAATTGTGTCCGCAACTTAAATTTGACTTTTTAGTTTAAGAGTAACTCTATAGTATTATATTGCATGGGCTGAAAGATGGCAGTACTAATCTGGATAAAATTATTTCCCCCTTTTTAAACTTAAAAGGAAAATTGGTTACAGCCCTGTTACTGCAGTTAGAGAATTAGAAGAATTTGGGTGAGTTTGAATCTTTTGTTTTGCACATTTCTAATCCATCTTGGTATTGTGGGGAAAAAAAGTTATAAGGAGAACATCTGTTGCTACTCATGTCATTTTTCATGCACATCAAGATCCATAATAGGTTAGAAGGGCCTCTCTCTATATCTTTTAAAAATTATAGTCCTTAACCAAAATTCTAAGGAGTTTGCATTACTTATTTCATTAAAATTACCAACAAAACAGTGTTGTTTCCCTCATTTTTTCCTATCTCCATTAATAAAACTCTATTTTCTTCCCTCCCACTCCTCCCAGGTAAGGGCTTAGCCCCCTCTTCCTTACCCATCTCTCAAAAGCCCCTCTGTTTATGCTGTTACATTTTCTACTTTCCAGTTTACCTAGGTTTATATTTTCATACCTACTGCCTCCCTGCACCCCATCCTTCATTATCCAATTCAACCTTAAATTTCTTTTTCTGTCCCTCTGCTATCAAACATGGTAACTGTGAAATTTAATTAAACAAATAAATACTTAATACAAAACCTTTTTCCTTTTCATTCACAACATCCATTGAGCACCTATTATACCAAGGCCAGGCACTGTTCTACATATGGAGGATATGGTGGGGGAACAAGATAGATAGATGAGGTTCCTGAGCTGATGGAATATATATTCCAGTATGTGGTGGGGTGGGGGGCAGGGCTGAAGCAGCTAGATGTTAATAAAAATCAGGTAAATGTGTATATAGGATTGCCAGATTTGGCAAAGAAAAGTAGCACATGCCCCAATTTCAATTTCCGATAAAAAATATTTCTTAATACAAGTATGTCCCATGCAATATTTGGGATTAAATTATAATGTAATAGTGATTAGGATGCTATTTGAAATGGTTTCACAGCTATCCCTTCACCAAAGATATATATGTGCAATTTTTACCCATGTGCATAATCAGTGTATTTCTGGTGTACCATCTCCAACTCCTATACTCCAATCTCAGCTGATAAAGATTTTGCTCATTCTCAAGTTCCACCTTCTTTAAACATTCTGTTGTAACAGTGCCAGCTCACTGTACTCTCATCTTTCATAAATCACCTTTACAGTTATACCCACATTACACAATTGGCATAAAAAAAACATGACCTGGGGTAATCTCTCTATTCTAGAAGTTGGTATTTTAATGGATCCACAGTACTCTACTGCCATGTTCATGAACTTTTCTATGTGCGCATTTCTTATATCTTCAATTTATAAGTGCAGAAATTGAGAATGAAAGGTCTAGAATTAAACAGTCCAGGATTCAGGATCTTGGTTCTGCTACTGACTGGCTATGGGACCTACTCACTATGGGACCTCACACAGGTTACTTGCTGTGCCTCAGTTTCCTCATTTGTAAAAAGAAGAAAATATCTGCCTCAAAAAGTTTGTATAAATATTAAATATGATTACATATGTGAACTACTCATACAAAGTGCATTCATTCTCCTTCTTCTCCTCTTTCTCATTATTATCATCATTACCTGCATACAATTTCTAGAATTTGGCGGCCTATCAGCCAATACGAAACTTCAGTATTAAGTGATCACTGAAATGAACAATGGCTTCTATAGCTTTGCTAAATTTTTATATGTATCTCACTCTCTTTTTGGTCATGATGTGCAGTCGGGAACAATGTACATTGTATTGTTTTAAAAGAGAAAGAACTTATTGATTATATAAACTGGGAAATGAAAAAAAAAGAAACATTTTTTAAAGCAACGCTCTGGAAAAAAAACCCCAAAATTATAATTTGTGAATTAAATGGTATTTGTGCCTATTCTCTCATCCATTTTGGAAAGTAAATTTATAAAAGGCAGAATCAGTTCTTCTGGAAGAGACCATTCTGTTAAATGCATAAGCTTTGGGTCTCTGGTAAAAGTATTTAGTGACAATCATGATGATAGCCCCCAGATGATCTGTTCAAGAAAAATTAGATTATATGGCAGATTTCCAAACCTTCCATTCAGCAGGAAATGACTCATATTATGCTTTTGTAACTGATGTTTTTGGTATTATATTATTTGTTGTAGTTATGTATGTAGCCAAGTTTGTAAATTGAATTCTATCATATATCTCCTAATGTTAGGAGAAATAGAACATTTTGGGTTAAAATGGTGTAGTTTGGTCTTGCCAGAATATAGGGGAATCATAGTATTAAGAAAAAAAGTCATCCTGGCCAAGCACAGTGGCTCACGTCTATAATCCCAGCACTTTTGGAGGCCAAGGCAGGCAGATCACCTGAGGTCAAGAAGTTCAAGACCAGCCTGGCCATCATGGTGAAAACCCATCTCAACTGAACATACAAAAATTAGCCAGGCATGGTGGTGAAAGCCTGTAATTCCAGATACTCAGGAGGCTGAGGCAGGAGAATCACTTGAACCTGGGAGGTGGAGGTTGCAGTGACCTGAGATCATGCCACTACACTCCAGCCTGGGCAATAGAGCAAGACTCCATCTCAAAACAAGAAAAAAAAAGGCCTGTCTGCATGAGAAATTAGTGAAACTGTAAGAAAGCTTATTGCTGTAAATCTATAGTATCCTTACGTTAATATAAGTCTATAGTATACTTTTTTGATATGAGAATAATAAGAGAAATACCTCTAAAATAACTCCCTAAACTATAGCTAGTGTAGTAGAAGCTGAAAACTCCATTAGAATGAAAGTCAACAGTTATTCTAGACATGGTACTCTTTATATAAAAAAAAGTCTTTGGGATAACTAAGAGCAGGTTATAATTAAGAGTTAGAAATGGTTAAAATGGATAGAAAAGGAGATGGGAATAAACTCTTCTCCTACCCAAAAATGACTTTAAAAACTTCCTGCTTTGCCTCAGATTATATGAACACTCTAAATTGCATTTAGAAGCAAAATGTCTTCTAGAGAGGTCTGTGAACAGCATTGCTCCCTTACCCAAAATAAAGGGATTTGAGCTTAAAACGGCCACAAGAATTTTGATTGTTGTTACAGCAAAAAACACAATACAATTTCAACTTCCAATATTCCTATACTCACATTAGGGATTTAATTACTACATGTGACTGAATCCAATCTTTTAATTTCTTTAAACTGAATTATAATTTTGTATTGTCTTCCATATTCAAGATGTCTTATTTACTTTCAATTGATAGTAATTCTTTATAATTTACTTCCTTTTTTATTTTGAATTCTAGATTATAAGGAAATGTAGGGTGAACGTGTGTTTCTCAGCTATATATTACTTAGCATTACATTTATTTATTTATTTATTTATATAGTTTTATTATACTTTAAGTTCTAGGGTACATGTGCACAACGTGCAGGTTTGTTACATATGTATACATGTGCCATTAGCATGACATTTAAATGCATTCTATTTTTAGATAATTTCCCCAATTCTACTTTGTGTAATAAGGATCTATACTGGGCGATATAAACAGAAAGAAAAGGCTTTACTTTTCCCAAATAAATGCCTGGATGCGGTATTTGCTCTCTTAAATGCCTGGATGTGGCATTTGCTCCTCCTTTCCTAGGTGAAATTCTGGCTATTAGAATAATTTGAGGGATAAACAGAGGCCTCAGGAATAATGATAGTCTCTCTAGAAAACAGGTATGCATGATTCCAGGGAAAAACACATGAACACCTCGTGTGTGTGTGTGTGTGTGTGTGTGTGTGTGTGTGTGTGTGTGTGTGTGTAGGGTGCTGATTAAAGGGAGAAGTTTACTTAAAAGCTCCCCAATCTCCATAATGTCCTGCTACTTTCAGAACAACTAGCTGTCGAACAGCAAAGCACATGTGACCTAAGGGATTTAGGATTTAGGAAACTCTCAAATGAGGGGGACACAGAAGGGGTAACAGAAGAGTTCCATAAGAAAAACATAGCAGATGGAAATGAGAGAAAAACAAAATAAAAAGTTCAGATTTCATACATCCTGTGTGTGAAAAAGGAGAAAATGAGGCTTGGAGAAGCTAAATAATTTGGCTAAGGTGCTACAAATTGGCAATGGGCCAAACCGATATTTGAACTTGGCTTAAATAACACCAGACAGGTTTTTAATATAATTCCTGAACCAGTCCAAAAATTAATCTCCATTCTGTTACTAAAAAAAAGGATCTACTTGAGAATTGACTTACAGTTTATTTTAAAGTCCTCAGTTTGAATTACCAGGGGATGAGAAAAAGCTCCATTTCCTCTGCCAGCAAGGGACAGGCACAAACGGCAGGCGCCACAGTCCTTAGTGAGCACTGGCTGGTCTCCTCACTAAGTCTTGAGCAGCCTGCAGTGACCTGCCCTTGAAGTGGTGGTTTAACAGCCTTTGCCCAAGCACTCTCTGGCTCTTTGTACATCTTTAATAGTTTCCTTGACGGACTATGAAGAACTGCCAGATGACAGTTCTATTTCATTTTTGTCACTGCCTGGTGCTCCTTTTTACTCTCAGGCTTTTTCTCAAGGGCATGATTCTATAAGTCAATGTGGCAATGTTCACGATGGGTATTGCTCTTTCAACCACTGTATATTGATGCAGTGTGAGCAAGTCACGGACATGTCAAGATTTCAGGCCTTCAAAAAAGTAATCAAGGAGTATTTTATAAACTCTAATGTCCTTTCCATTGGAAGCAAATTGAAACTGGGGATTGGGATCTGATATTAAAGGTTTACTTTAAAACACTGCTGCCAGAGGCATATAAAAGCCCCCTTGATTAATATACCATAGGATTTTTTTCGCTTGGAAAAAAGCACAAGTGATGTGCTTTTGTTCCCCAAGTTTTAAATAAAACGTTTGTCATTCTTGCACACTGTTTATTACTAATTGCACAATTATTTTATTATATGGCACAGGAAAAATGATTTAAGTTTCCTCCTGCATATTCTATGTTTTAAGTAAATAACTGCTTCAGTCAAAAATTATTTATTAAATTATATGATTCTTTGCTAAACATAATTGAGATGTCAAGACTTTTTTATTAGTGCTGCATAATGAAATAATTGAGGAATTAGTAATAAATTTTGCCTCTTGTAATTTAGAATAAATAAAAAACAATTACTAGGGTTTTCTTTAAGAATGTGGGGTTCTTAAAGTTATCTCTCATAAAAATTACGCTGATGAATAGCATATGTTTCCTCAGCCAAAAAAAAATGAGGTGGCTTTTCCTTGACATCTCTGCAAAATCAGGGTAGCTATCACACATTGTATGAATGTGCAGATTTCTCTATGTATTGTTGTTTTTTGATTTTGCAATATGGAGAGGGCAACTTACTTTCAAATATGAGTACCCTGGTACATTGGAAAACACTTTTATAATGGTCATTAACTTTCACATACTGTCAATTCTCAGCTTCCGTACCAAGAGCAAGAAATATCGTTAAAAGATAAGTAGTGCCTTTTTGTGGCTTCATGATCCACAAACATTCACTATGACACCTACTGTAAGGCATCTCAGCCAAAATGAGGGGCATGAAGGAGGAGATATGGACCTTGCTTTCAAGAAGCTCACCATCTAGCAAGGGGGATAATGAACTTACATAGATTATTGGAGTGCCAAATTAAAAGTAGACATTGACAAATTGATATGGATTCTTAGAAGGGAAGGAGAGATGGATTTTTAGCTTGGGAGGGAGAGATGTGGGGAATATGAAAGGGAGATTATCAAGGGATTGGCATTTGAGCTGGAAGGATGAGTATTAATAGCAATAGCTAACATGTATTGAGCTCTTATGTGAACAGACCTTCCCCTACTCCACAGGCCCTTTGCTTAACCACTAAACCATAAGATGTAGGTATGAAGGGACTCAGGGAGTGGATATTCTGGGCAAAGAAAACTGTATGATGGCCGGGCCTGGTGGCTCACACCTGTAATCCCTGCACTTTGGGTGGCTGAGGCTGGTGGATCACCTGAGATCAGGAGTTCGAGACCAGCCTGGCCAACATGGTGAAACCCCATCACTACTAAAAACACAAAAATGTAGCTGGGTGTGGTGGCGCATGCCTGTAATCCCAGCTACTCGGAAGGCTGAGGCAGGGGAATTACTTGAACCTGGGAGGCAGAGGTTGCAGTGAGCCGAGATCGCGCCATTGCACTCCAGCCTGGGCAACAAGAAGCAAACTTCATCTCAAAAGAAAAACAACAACAACAACAACAACAAAAAACAAATAACAAACAAACAAACAAAAATTCTGTGAGCAAAGGCATGAAGGGGACTGGGTTCTGTCTTCTAAGTCATTCCTTCACAGTAACACAGATACTCCTGCATTAGATAGATAGATCCACACACTTAGATTCCTATAGTAAAGCCTAGTTATGGCACTTGTAGCTTGCAATGAATGCCAACAGCAATGTGTAGCCCAAAAATAATTAGACACAGCTACATTTCACTATAGAATGTTTTGGCCATGCAGTTACACATTTATTAATATAATGTCTCTCTCTACTCTTCCAACTGGGAAATCTTGGTATTAAGCACCAAATATAAAATAGAAATCAGAGAGAGGGCACTCAGGGTCCTTCTTAGTTGGACCTCAATTTACCTATTCAGTCTAATTTTCCCCTTTATACACCTTATGCTTCAGCCAATAAAATGACTGATTCCTGCATGTGCCCAGTCCTATCCCACAACCCACCACGCTGTGTGTCTGTGGACCCATAGGACTGGCTCAGCCTAGAAAGACTTCCTCGTGGCAGCAAGAGCTCCTGAAACCACGTCGGGTTTTGTGAATCAGGAGTGGACTACATCCTGACCTCCTGGAAGGTAACATCTCATGCCTTTTGCAGGTGTTTGATTTTTTATTATATTTCTGGGATTGCTTATTGGCTCAGGACCAATTTGGAAAGGCTGTGCAGTTACAAGTTAACTGAGCGTCAGCTCTTCTCCTCAGTCCCTTTCAAGGGCCATACCCCTCTAGTTTATCTTAGAAAATAGAATCATTTATTTTACCCAACACTGGATCTGTTCTTTTTCCAGTATTCCACACCAATTCCCTCACCATTCCTGTTTTGCAGGCATCACTGTTCACTTTCCTGCTTTTCATTGTTTGGCTCCCTTATTTTCTAACTCTGGGAAGGTACTTATTTCTTTACATTGTTACCATGTAATTCATCATCCACTATTTAGGAAAGCCCCCTGGTCCATTCCACTCCTATGAATTTATGCAAGAGAAATGAAAATACATGTCTATACAAATAGTTGTAACAAATACTAAATGCCACTGTTTTCCACAGTGGCTTAATCATTTTGCATTTCCACCAGCCATGTGTATGAGTTTGTTGCCAACACTAAGTGGTGTCATTATTTGTAATTTTAGCTCTTCTACTGAGGTGTGTAGTAGCATCTCCTTGTGGCTTTAGTTTGCATTTCCCTAATGACTAACAATATTGAGTATTTTTGCATGTGCTAATTTGGAATCCCTATGTGTTGTTTAGTCAAATTCTATTTATATTTGTGCCTATTTTTTATTGAATTATTTGTCTTATTGAGTTGGCTACTTCCACCATTTGGCAATTATAAATAAAGCTGCTTTAGGATTTCGTGTAAATGTAATTTTTCAGTTCAGTTGGGTAAATACCTAGGATTGCAATTGCTGAGTCGTAGAGTGAATCTATATTTAACATTGTAACAAACTTCCAAAGAGGCTATACTATTTTGTATTTCTACCAGTAATACATGAAAATTTCTATTGGAATTTTGATTTAAATTGTGTTGAAGCTATACATAATTTAGTAGGTGATTAACATACTAACACTAGTGAGTTTTCCAATCAATGGTGATGACATATCTGTACCTGTATTAATCATCTTTGATTTCTCTCAACAATATTTTATAGTTATCAGTGTACAAGTCTCATATATCTTTTATCAAATTTATCTATAAGTATTTCACATTTTTATGATATCATAGTTTTAAGCTAAAATTTCTAATGGTCAGTATATGTAAATACAATTATTTATATTAACCTTCTAACGGCTGATCTTACTAAATTCATTTATTAATTGTAGTATCTTTTTTACAGACTTACTAGGATGTTCTACACAGATGATCATGTTGCTTGCAAATAAAGTTTTATTTATTTCTAGCCTGTCTGCCATTTATTTCTTACTTTGTTTCTTATTGGCAAGGACAGTCAGTATAATGTTGAATAGAAGTGGTGGAAGAGGGAATCCTTTCCTTGTTCTTGATCATACAAGGTCTTTCACCAATAAGTAAATGCAAGCTGCAAGTTTTTCAAATATGCCCTTTCGCAAATTGAGGAAGTTCTTTTCTATTCTTAATTTCATAGTCATTCTTCTCAAGAATTAGTATTTTGTCACATTTATTAATGCATCTATTAAGATTGTCCTAAAATTTTCGTTTTAGTATGTTAATAGGGTGAATTACATTGATTGCTTTTCAATTGTTTAACCAACATTGTACTGCTGGGATAAACCCTATTTGATTATGATGCATTATCTTTTTATAGGCAGGTTCTATAGACAGGTTCTGCGATAGAGATATCGCAGGCTTGGTGCTAGACAACTGGAATAAAGCAAATATTGCAATAAAGTCAGTCACATAATTTTTTTGATTTCCCAGTGCATACAAAAGTTGTATTTACATTATATTGTCATCTATTAAGTGTCCAATAGTATTATGTTAAAAAAATCAAGTAGATTCCTTAGTTAAAAATACTTTATTGCTAAAAAAATGTGAATGATCATCTGAGCCTTCAGCGAGTGATAATCTTCTTGCTGGTAGAAGGTCTTGCATCAGTATTGATAGCTGCTTACTGATAAGGGTAGTGATTGCTGAAGGTTGGGGTGTCTGTGGCAATTTCTTAAAATAGGACAACAAATTTTGCGATGTTGATTGTCTCTTCCTTTCACAAAGGATTTCTCTGTAGCATGCAGTGCTATTTGACAGCATTTAACCCACAGTAGAACATCTGTGAAAATTGGAGCCAATCCTCTTAAACCTTGTCACTGCTTTATCTACAATGTTTATGTAATACTCTAAATCCTTTGTTGTCATTTCAACAGTGTTCACAGCATCTTTACTAGAAATCAATTACATCTCAAGAAATCACTTTCTTTGTTCATTCATAAAAAACATTATCCTTATCCTTATGTTTTATCGTAAGATTGCAGCAATTCAGTTCCATCTTCAGGTTCCACTTTGAATTCCAGTTTTCTTCTAACTTGCACCATATCTGAAGTTACTTCCTCCATTGACATCTTGAACCCATGAAAATCAGTCACTCATAAGGTTTGGAATTGGCTTCTTCCAAATTCCTGTTAGTGCTAACATTTTGACCTCTTTCCATGAATCATGAATTCATTAATGACATCATAAATGGTGAGTCCTTTCTGCAGGTTTTCAATTTACTTTACCCAGATCCATCAGACGAATCACAATCTACGGCAGCTATAACCTTACAAAATGCATTACTTTATTTTTATTTTATTATTTATTTATTTTTTTAGAGATAGGGGTCTCACTATGTTGCCTACACTGGTCTTGAACTCCTGGCCTCAAGCTATCCTTCTGCCTCAATTTCCCAAAGTGCTGAGATTATAGGTGTGAACCACCACCCTTGGCCACAAAATATATTTCTTAAATAATAAGACTTGAAAGTAGAAATTACTCTTGATCCATGGGCTGCAGAATGGGTGTTGTGTTAGCAGACATGAAAACAACATTCATCTTCTTGTACATCACCATCAGAGCCTCCATCAGAGCTCCTAGGTGACTAGGTGCATGGTCAATAAGCAGTAATATTTTGAAAGAAATCTTTTTTTTCTGAGCAGTAAGTCTTAACAGTGGGCTTAAAATACTGAGCAAACCATGCTGTAAACAGATGTGCTGACATCCAGGCTTTGCTGTTTCATTTAGAGAGCACTGGCAGAATAGATTTAGCATAATTCTTAAGGCCCCTGGGATTTTCAGAATGGCAAATGAACATTGGCTTTAACTTAAAGTCATCAGCTGCATTACCCCTAACAAGAAAGTCAGACTGTCCTTTGAAGCTTTGATATCAGGCATTGACTTACCCTCTGTAGCTATGAAAGTCCTAGAGGGCATCTTTTCCAATAGAAAGCTGTTTCATCTATATTGAAAATCTGTTAGTGTAGCCACCTTCATCAATGATCTTAACTAGGTCTTCTGGGTCACTTTCTACAGCTTTTACATCAGCACTTGGTGTTTCACTCACACTTTTGTGTTATGGAGATGGCTTCTTTCCCTATCTCTCATAAACCAAACCCTGCTAGCTTCCAGCTTTTCTTCCTCAACTCTTTCAGCATCATAAAATCAAAGAGAGTTAGGGCCTTGCTCTGGATTAGGTTCTGGCTTAAGGGAATGTTGTGGTGGGTTTGATTTTCTATGCAGACCACTAAAACTTTCCTCGTGCAGCAATAAGGCTCTTTCACTTTCTTACCATTTGGGAGTTTACTGGAGTAGCACTTATAACTTTCTTCAAAAACTTGTTCCTTGGATTCACAACTTGTCTGTTTGGTGCAAAAGCCCTAGCTTTGAGCCTATATGCCATCTTTCTCCATGCCTTCCTCATGAAGACTAATCATTTCTAGATTTTGATTTAAACTGAGAGACATGTGACTCGTCCTTTCACTTCAACACTTAGTAGCCATTGTAGGGTAATTAATTGGCTTACTTTTAATATTGTGTCTCAGGGAACAGGGAGGCCCTAGGAAAGGGAGAGAGATGGGGGCCAGGTGGTGGAACAGTCAGAACACACACAACATTTACCAGTTGAGTTCATAGTTTCATATGGGTGGAGGTCATGGTACCCCAAAACAATTACAACAGTAACATCAGAGATCATTGCTCACTGATAACTGTAACAAATGTAATAACAATGGAAAAATTTGAAAAATTGTGAGAATTACCAAAATGTGACACAGAGACATTAAGTTAGCACATGTTAGAAAAATGGTAACTATAGACTTTCTTGGTGCAGGGTTGCCGCAAATCTTCAATGTAAAAAACACAGTATATGTGAAGCACATTAAAGTATAATAAAACAACATATGCCTGTATTGTCAGATTCAATCTGCTAAAAAATTAGCACTTACTGTGCCTGTGTTCATGAGGGATAATGGTCTCTAGTTTTTTTTTTTCTCATTTTTTTCCCTTCCATTTACTTCCTAATGTCTTTGTCTAGTTTTGGTATCAGGTCAATTCTAGCCTTATAGAATAAAATTGATGTGTTCTCTTCTATTTTTTGGAAGAGTTTGTGTAAAGTTGGTATTTACTCCTTAAGCATCTGATAGAATTCACTAGTGAAGCTATTAGAGCTTTGAGTATTCTTTGTGAGAAGGTTTTAAACTATAAATTCAATTTATTTAAAACAGGATTATTCAGGTTTTCTTTTTCTTCTTGAGTGAACTTTGGAAGTTTGTGTTCTTTAGCAACTTTGTTATTTTACCTAAGCTCTTAAATTTATTAGCATAAAGTTGTTCAAAATATTTTATCATATTATTGCATGTAGTATCTTTAATCATGAACCACCTATCATTCTAGAGCTTGGTAATTATTTTCTCTTTGCATTTTTCCAATTTACATTTGCTAGAGTTTTATCAAAGGACAGCTTTTGCTTTCATTGATGTATCTCTCCTTTTATTTTCATTGCTTTCATTGATATATCTTTTTATTTATTAATGTTTACTCTTATTTTTACTTCCTTTTTTGGTTCTTTGGCTTGGTTTTAATTTTTCTTTTTCAAGTTTCCTAAAGTGTAAGTTGAGACTTGATTTGAAATTTTTCGTGTTTTTGATTACAAGTAATTTATGCTGCATATCTCCCTCTAAGGCATGTTTGACTACATTCTGCACATTTCATATGTTGTATTTTCATTTTCACTCAGTACAAAGTACTTTATAATTTCCCTTGTGATTCTTTTTGACCCATGATATAGAAATGTTCTGCATAATTTCCAAATTTTTGGAGATTTTCCAGATATCTTTTAATTATTGTTTTCTGCTATGATTGTGTTGTGGTCAGAGAATATGCATCTTACAATTTCAGTCTCTTTGTATTTATTAATATTTTTTACATGGGCTAGCTTGGTAAATATTCAATGCCCATTTTCTAATGTGTGTTTTGCCATTTTGGGGTGTAGTGTTCTACAAATGTTGGTGAGGTCTAGCATGTGGTGGTGTTCAAGTCTTCTTAGTTATTTCTAGTCTACTTATTCTGTTAATTATAGAGAAGGGAATTTTGGTATTTCCAAGTATACTTATGAATTTGTCCATTTCTCTTTTCAGTTCTATAAACTTTTGGTTATATTTTGAAATTCTGTTATTAGGTACAGATACATTTAGATTTGTTATGTTTTATTGGTATATTGTCTTCTTTTTTATTGTGATGTTTGTCCTCATAAGAGTTTTTACTTTGAAATCTACTTTGTTTGATACTAATATGGCTACCCCAACTTTATTTTTGATTAGATGTAGTATGACATATCTTTTTCCATTCTTTTACTTTTAACCTTCCTGTGCTTTATATTCAAGGCATGTTTCCTATAGACAGCATATAGTTAGATTTTAGTTTTTTATTTATTTGACAATATGCTCTTTATATTTAGACCATTTACATTTAATGAAATGATTGTTGTCTTTTGGTTGGGTTTAATTTGCTATCTCCATCTTTTATGTTCCTTTTTTTCCCTCTTTTTATGTGTTTGTTTTTTATCTTATTTTGGATCAATTAATATTTATTATTTCATTTCAACTTCATATTGGTTTATTAGCAGTACCTCTTTTTTAGTTGGTTGCTCCTCTTTTTACATATTAAATAAAGTAAGCCTTAAAATGGTTAACCACTTGCCGAAAAATTGCATAATAATTAAGCCAAAGTCCTTAAAATGGCTTACAAGGCCCTACGTTTTTTGGCCTTTATTACCTCTCTGACATCATCTTTTTCTACCCTCTTTGTTATTCCCTCTGCCCTAGCCATACGGGCCACTCTGTTGCTTCTCAGACATGGAAGATACTTCGCAACTTGCACTGACTATTTGCTCTTTCTAGAAGTATCTTTTCCCAGATGCCCACATGTCTAACTAATCTCTTGCAAGTGTTTGCTCAAATGTCACCATGCAAGTATAGCTACCCCAGCTACATTATCTTACATTTTATCTTTCTTCCCAGTCTTCACACTTAAGCTCTCTTACCCTGCTTTATTATTTTAAAAAATAGCATATACCATTTTCTTAGGTATTATATTTATTGTGTACATATTTCTGCCCTTCAATAGAATGTAAGCTCCATGAACTCAGGAATTTTATCTGTTTGTTCAAAGATATATTTCCAACACTTAGAACAGTACCTGGCACATAGTAGGTACTTAAGTATTTTTTAAATGAACGAACACATTAGGAAGTGGAATGCAAAGAAACTAAATTTACGGTTTGCAACAATTAAAATAAAATCTAGCAATGTAAAAATGTTTGCAAAATCTGTGCTTGAGATGGAATTACATATGGATTTTATTGAAATGCCATTTAATGCTGTTTAAACTCTGTTTTTATGAAAGAAATATAATTTAGACAAAGTGAAGTGATTTCACATAGCAAGAGGCTATGTACAAAAAATAAATGAAAAACAGTAGAATATGAGGCTGCCGGTCTGGGTGTGATTCAAGCAGCTTTGAGCATTTCCACTTTCCATTCCCTCCATTATCTGAGTATAAAATTCCACCATTAGAGAGTTGCACCTTTTAACTTCATGGGATTTTTAGAAAGTCTTTAGGCATTGTTATTAAAATGGAAATACTCCTGAAAGGGGAGGAATATACTTTAGTATAAATGTACACTTAGGGATGTGTTGACATCATGCTTAAAGCAGGTGGTTCTGAGAATAAAAACTGTGTGCTAGAAAACAAAGCCTTCTCATGACTAACTTGACCAGCTTTATAACTCATGCTGGGAAAAACTCTTAAACTGGCCAGTGTAGCCATTGTATACGTACTATTGTTTATGCATCCTAATGAGAAGGGGATGCAGAGGGACTTTTTGATGGGCAGATATTTTTGGAGTATTAAAAACTAGATTATTTTGTATCCTGTATATAATTCAATATTTTACATATCATCTTTGATAGGAAAATTTAGTATTAAAATATAAATATAGGCAATGGCTTTGATTAAGCCATAAATTTTTTTAAAAAGATGCACCTTGGTGGGCAATGGCAGAAGCAAGGTTGTGTGCTAGTTTTTCCATTAACAGCACAATGAAACCTTTAAATCCAAGGCTTGTCATGAGTCTATGAATTTATTTGTACAAAGAAATCAGAAATGATGGAGGCAAATCTTGGTAACTGCAACCTATCTAGAAGACAAAACATGGGAAGGTTGGGTGAGGTATAGTAAATTCAGAGGTGAGATTATATTTATGTGGTTCTTCCAAAGCTATGGGAAATTATAGGAGTTTCTTCATTTTGTAAAGTGAAAAATAGTCTTGAAATAAAGCTTTGCAACATTTCCCCCCACATCCCGCATGGCCCTGATTGTAAATGAATGGTTAGTTGGCAATATTTCAGCAACTTAAAATTTCTCAAAAGGATATATTTGAAAGATGAGAAAAGGGATGAATGCCAAGGAATGTTAGTAATTTTTAAAAAGCAGACAATTATCCAATGAAATATTCGATTATTTCTATTCACATCTCTTATCTCCTCCAATATTTTTAAACGGCCTCTCTGAGCCTTAGTAATATTGCATGCATGCTTTTATACCTTAAGGGTCTTTACTATTGAAATATAAATGACCTTGTGAGGACTATGCAGTAAGCTTTCAAAAGTGGACTAGATGACATCACCTTGAAAGCAATACAAGGCTTTTGGTAGTAGGCAATATTGTTCATTTTCGCTTATAGGTTAAGAGAGAAAATCACTTAGGATTTGTATTTTTTCTACCTTATATTCTGACTCTCATATTATTCTATGGTTGGCTCTTGAAGCAAAATGAGAGACTGGTAATCTGGCTAATCTATGCTTTAGTCATTTCTTTTTAGATCTAGAATTATTCAGGTTAATTACAGGTCAATATTCTATTTAAGCATCCAATAATTATCTGACTTCTCTTTGACCATAGAAATCCCTGGTGACTTAGTATTTGTCAGGTAGAAGATAATAACAGTTGACATTTATTAAGTACATTCCATGAGGTAGAGATCATGCTACCTACTTTTTAAAAAGTAGACTTTTAATTTTAGAACAGTTTGATATAGAAAGATTAAGATAGTACAGGGTTCCCCTATACCTGGCACTCAGTTTCAAATACTTTTAATTAAAGCCAGGCGCAGTAGCTCACACCTGTAATCCCAGCCCTTTGGGAGGCTGAAGCAGGCAGCTTGTTTGAGCTCAGAAATTCAATACCAGCCTGAGCAACATGGCAAAACCTTGTCTCTACAAAAAAATACAAAAATTAGCTGGGCATGGTGGTGCAAGCCTGTGGTCCCAGCTACTTGGGAGGCTGAAGTTGGGGAATTGCTTGAGCCCAGGAGGTCAAGGCTGCAGTAAGTCCTGATTGCAACACTGCACTTTAGCCTGGGTGACAGAGTGAGACCCTGACTGAAATACTTATTATAGGTACATTATTATGGTACATTTGCACAATTAATATTGATACATTATTAACTAAAATCCATAATTTATTGATTTTTTTTTTTTTAGGTTTTACCTAGTGTCCTTTTTCTATTCCAGGATCCTATCCTGAATACATTACATTTAGTCATGATGTTGTCTTAGGCTTCTCTTGGTTGTGATAGTTTCTCAGCCTTTTCTTGTTTTTTGATGATCTTGACAGTCTTACGGAGTCTGGTATATATTGCAGAATGTTCCTCTATTGGTATTCTTCTGATGTTTTTCTCATGATTAGACTGGTATTATAGATTTTTGGGGAGGAAGAAAACAGAGGTAAAGTGTCATTCTCATCACATCATATCAAGGGTACATACTATCAAAATGACATCACTGTTGATGTGTTAACCTTGATATCCTGGCTAAGGTGATGTGTGTCAGTTCTCTCAGCTATAAAAGTTACTAGTCCCCCTTCCCTTTCTATACTGTACTCTTTGGAAGGAAGTCACTATATATACCCCACTATAAGAAGTAGTGAGTTATGTTCTGCCCTCTTGAGGATGGTATATCTACATAAATTACTTAGAATTCTCCTACATGGGGCATTTGTTTATTCTCCCTAATTTATTTATTTACATTACAATATAATAATACTTTACTTTCTGGTTCAAATTATTCCAGCTTTGACCACTGGGAGCTGTTTCAGTTGGCTCCTATGTCCCTTGACCATGCCCTGTTATAGGGTGTGTGTGTGTGTGTGTGTGTGTGTGTGTGTGTGTGTGAGAGAGAGAGAGAGAGAGAGAGAATTCACTCTCATGCTGTCCACATACTATTTGATACTGTAAGATGCTTCACGCTTATCTTGTACATCTTCTGCTCTAGTCTACGACTCAACCACTTCTCTAAGATCCCTGATTCCCTTTATTGGAGGATTGGAAACCAAGATCTGGATACTGGGCATGCTCATTGTAACCAAGTGCTACAACTTTTGGTCCTTTCAGTTGACAAAGCAAGGAAATGAGTGTGTATACTAACCTGTGTATATAAATGTATTTATACATATTTCTATATGTAACCATCAGTATCTTTATTAGGGTATACACAAATTAATACTGATGTCCCCTATTCTAATCCACTGTATCATGGATCATTCTAGCCTCAATCTCTTGCCTATTTGTAACTTCCCCTCCAAAGTAAGAAACCTGGCTCCCAACATCAGCCATCTATTTATTTTTTAAATTCCAGTATACACGTATCGTGGTAGCAGAATTGTTAACTCATACCCTCACGGGAAACAACTTAATCAATTGAGCACAGTATTATGTACAGTTTCTGTTGTCTTTAGTTTTGCAAGCTCCTCTCATTTTCAAAGTTGCACTAGTAAGCACTGTTTCCCCTCACCTCCTCCAGTGAGATTGTTTTATATATTTATAATACAGTGAGATTATTTTGTCACATTCCCCATTACATCCTGGAAACCCCCAGGCTCCTAAATAATTTTTAAAAAATTTATATGTTAAGGAAGGTTCACTTTTGTGTTGCATTGGGTGGTAGAAATGGAGATAAATGGGACTTCAGTGTGAGGATTAAGTCAGTCTAGTGGTTGGACTGTGTTTAATGTATGCTGTAGCTGTAGGTGCCAGAGACTTCAAATTTCTCTAGTGTTAAAGCTTTTGTCTCCTTTCTTAATTTTGGGCTTCCCAAGATACTCCCCAGAGGAAGTCTGCATCTTGCAGCTCTTTAGCTGTAATCTGCTATCATCATACACCAGTGGAAGTTACATTGGTGTTGTGATCAGGTATGGGGAAGGGAGACATTCTATTGTCTTATGATTAAATCTCTGTCTTTCCATGGGCCTGTGTCTCTGGACCTTCCCAAGTTTTTATTTCTCCATGGCATAACTTTCTCACTCCTATCCTCACCCCTCACCATGACTTCAGAATGTCCAATCTATTTTTCTGAATCCCTTACTGATATGGTTTGGCTGTGTCTCCACCCAAATTTCACCTTGAATTATAATAATCCCCATGTGTCAAGGGTGGAGCCAGGTGGAGATAATTGAATCATAGGGACAGTTTCCCCCATACTGTTCTCATGGTAGTGAATAAGTGTCATGAGATTTGATGGTTTTATAAACGGGAGTTCCCCTGTACAAGCTGTCTTTGCCTCCTGCCATGTAAGATGTGACTTTGCTCCTCCTTTGCCTTCCACCATGATTGTGAGGCCTCCCCAGCCATGTGAATCTGTGAGTCAATTAATCCTCTTTCCTTTATAAATTACCCAGTCTAGGGTATGTCTTTATTAGCAGCATGAGAATGGATTAATACTTACTCTATTGACTTTTTAACCTTAGATGAGACAGGAAGGCTGCAGAGAGGAGGAGAGGGCTGATGCTAGAGGTATGTGGGCTGGTGGTGTGGGAGGAGCTAGCTGAGATAAGACTCTGCCATGCTTTCTTCCAAAGTTACGTAGCTTTTCCATTCCTATTAGCCTTGTAATTTTTGCTGAAACCAGTTATGTTGTATTGAGTGATAGGAACTGAGGTAAACAGAGTATTCTTTGGCAAAGTTTTCTCTCTTGGAGAATAGGTCTTTGTTATAAAGAATTAAGCTCTAGGCTTGTTTCATATTGATGACTGCATTTCCCCATCCCTTGCCAGAGCCAGAGATGTAAGAGGGAAATCTTTCTCTGATCTTTATCGTAAGAACCTTGTGGGATTTCTGGAAGTAAAACCCATGAAAATATGGGGACCCTCCTAACATTGAAACTCTCAGAATTTCCTCACTCTCATGCTGTCCATGCTTTGCCTTCAGCAGTTCACCAAAATTATCATATAAGTGTTCCTATCACTTACGTTTCTAGCTGTGTATGTTCCAGGTAGGCAGATCTTGGCTGTGTCTCTCTAGTTGTGTCTGTTTCTCTAGATTGTGGAGTGCTTATTTGCCTTATGACCTCAGTTTTAATAATGGGTCCAAAAAAGTGTTTTGGTTGTAGTTTGCCCAGGCTTTTCTGTTGTAAGGGCAGGGTTGACAATTTACAAGCTTTTTCTATGTTGGAGCTGAAACCAGAAGTCTTCTATGCCAGGCTTTTTATTTGATTTAATTTGCATAACAAGAAAATTAAGTAGTTACTGTTACTGCCCCTATTTTATATATGAGAAAAAAACTGATTGACCCATCGAATCTTAAATTTAGTAAGGTTTAGTAAGAATGAGATAAAAACTAAGATCAAAGTGCTTTGAAATGTTACAGGGAAAACAAAGATATTTTTAAGGAAAATGCAACTTCTCAAAATGTTGCCTGTATCTGGTGTTGCCAAAACGTGCTTGATCATCACCTTATAGTGGATGGCCTCTTTTAAGAATCATCATTGAATGGATTAAAAAAGAAGTTCCTGGCCGGCACGGTGGCTCTCACCTGTAATCCCAGCACTTTGGGAGGCCGAGGCGGGCAGATCATGAGGTCAGGAGATTGAGACCATCCTGGCTAACACAGTGAAACCCCGTCTCTACTAAAAATACAAAAAATTAGCCGGGCGTGGTGGCGGGCGCCTGTAGTCCCAGCTACTCGGGAGGCTGAGGCAGGAGAATGGCGTGAACCCGGGAGGGGGAGCTTGCGATGAGCCGAGATTGGGCCACTGCACTCCAGCCTGGGCGACAGAGCAAGACTCTGCCTCAAACAAACAAACAAAAAAGAAGTTCCTTTTTAGCAGAGCATAGTTTTAATACTAGATCATTTTTCATTAATTTCTGCCTAGAATAAACTCCTATATGGTTACCTTGCATTATCGTTTCATTTTCATGCTAATGTTTCTACATATGCCTGAAGATTGAATTATTGAAAAAACTCAATTGAGAGGAGGTTCTTTTAGTAATTTTTATGTAATGAAATACTTTGGAATGGATTCAACATGGACCAAAAATGCCAAATTGCGTAGCTAGTTGTATTTTAGTAAGCTTCAGAATCATTCTTAATGTATGGCATTGGCAATTTTTCCATAATGGAATATATATTTTCACTTTATCAGAGGCAATATAAAAGTACATATTCATAGCAAAAAATAAAAACTGCTACTATTTCTGTTCATTCATATCTGTAAGTATATAGCCAGTGAAAGATGAATTGAAGAGGTTAAGTGACATTCTTGCAGATTCTCTATGATGTGTGAGATAAAAGAGAACCATTAAATTGTATATCTTATTTATGGGGGAAAGAGAAGTGGGCCCTATGGATTGTCAAATACTGTGTGAAATATAACTGAGCCTAGTAATGCATTTTTACTAATCATTCTACTGTTTGTCTAAGCCTCAGCAGTAAGGTAGTTTGCTCAGTAGTGGCTCAGTAGTTTATTTATTTTCATGGCATTTGGGGGACAGTTTTCATAATTAATGTTTAAATTACGCTAACAATGGCTTACAGACTGGCTTTAGAGAAGGACTTTGGTCACATGACACAGAGAACTGCCACCATACCAAGTCTAGGAAAGTTCATATAATGTCAATAGCATTAAAGAACCTGGAGGGACACAGAAAGACAGGTGTGATGTTGTGCTCAGGTGATCAAAGTGAGGCCACTTCATGGCCAGTTGAATCTTGGATGGGCCTTTGGTTTGGAGACTGTATTTCCATAGTGGCTTTGGACAGTCATCAGATACAGTTTCTGAGATATGAATACAGGGAAAATGGTATAACACACACCTTGCAAGTGTAGTCACCAAAAAGGGGTTCCTGCTGCTGGTCTTCACAAATCAATTATGTCCGGAGACATTACAAAATGAAGAAGCACAATTAGAGAGAAGGTAAACAGCTGTTGTATCTTAGAAAAAAGTAACACATTCAGAAGTGCAAACAAAAAAGCCAGAGCAAATAGTGTAGATTACAATCCTATAGTAAAGAAACATTTAACATTCCCTGTTGCAAGCATTCTTAATCTAAGATTCATTCAGGGACTTGGGAGGAAAAAGGAAGTTTTCACAACCCTTTTGAAGTTATTGGCAAAATTGGGCATGTTTGTCCATTCCAATAGGAAGAAAGACAAGTACTTTAATTAGATTCTTCAAGCTATTTACTAACCAAAAAAGTGTAAGAAGGATTAAAAAACAAACAAAAGATTTAAAAACAGTGACTTAGTTATATCTTTGAGTAGATCCTAGAAAAAAATGTGTTTATATCACTTAAACTGAAAATTCGCTAAAATATCACTGTGAGGATCAGTAGACTTTGATTTTAACACCAGCTCTACTGCCTCAAATGACCTTGGGCAAATTAAAATTCTTTTTAAAATAAGTGTGCGTAATGATACCTACTTCTCGAGTTATAATTTTCTAGATGAGGTATGTTAAGTATAATTATAAAACACCTAGCAGACTGCCTGGCATATAGTGGGTGTTCAATAAATGTTATTTCCAAGGCAGGATTCCAGGGTTGTTATGGTATCTACAATATACTTTAAAATACTTTTTCAAAAAAATTAAGTAGTGTGTGTATATGTGGGTACTGCTTAGTTTAAGTAACATGCTATATACTGTTCTAATCAGAAATTTGGTTTTCAGAGGTGGCCAGATAAGATGTTTTCAGAAGGTCCATGCCCTAAATGTGCCTATTATTATAAGTGCTTTTGGTTATATTATCTTTGATTAGCACCAGACGTTAGAGTGAAAGCCAAAAAGGAGTTTTCATTGGTGAAATTTGTAGTTCATTAGTTGGCATAATAAACTTTAAAAGTAGGCTTTTACTGGTGAAATGAGTGGTATTTGTGGTATATGGAATGGATAGAGTATTTTAAAAACATTCCCTACCCTTTCGTAAATAGAAATTACGAATCTAGCAGACCTTCTGTAGCCTGTACCCTCAAGGATGGTGCCTGTGGCTCTATCCTGTATCTAGCCATTCATGCCAGTGTAGGTTATCAGGGACATGAAATTCTGCTTCTGATATTGATTCATCTGCCTCTAGTGAATCTCCTATGCAAGATAAGGTAGGCATCTTTAAAAGGACAGAGAACTAGGGTTTCATTGAACTTACAAAACAAGTTGTATAAACTGTTCTGTGCCTGTTTGCTATTAAAAATGAGTTTCATAAATGTCACCATATCTTGGAGAATGTAGAAACTTGCTCATGTTGGAGAGGCTATGGCTGTAATTCTATATAGTGGCTATAATTATCTACCAAAAAGGTCATAATTGGTGTGACCAAATTGGCTGAGGTCATTTTTCTTTCCTCTCTTTTTTTTTGAGACGGAGTCTCGCCTTGTCGCCCAAGCTGCAGTGCGGTGGCGTGATCTTGGCTCACTGCAAGCTCCGCCTCCCAGGTTCAAGCAATTCTCCTGCCTCAGCCTCCCGAGTAGCTGGGACTACAGGCACCCACCACCACGCCCGGATAATTTTTGTATTTTTAGTAGAGACGGAGTTTCTTCGTGTTAGTCAGGATGGTCTCGATCTCCTGACCTCGTGATCCACCCGCCTCGGCCTCCCAAAGTGCTGGGATTACAGGCATGAGCCACCGTGCCCGGCCAGCTTAGGCCACTTTTCAAGAAGAGTCAAAATAAAACCTTCAGTATGAACAAAGTAGGGAAGTCAGAGTCCATGCACTAATGAAAAAGAAACATAAAAACAAGTTCATCAGGCAGATGACAAGCAAGGAAGGCACAACTCAGAGATTAAAGGAGGTGTAAAAAGGTCTTAAATGTAGGCAAACAGGAATCAGGAAAGCTGATAAATCTGAAAAAGCAGGAGAAAGAAAACCGGTAAACAGCCTCCAAACACTTTGATAATCTAAGGCAGACCTTTGCCTTAGCCAAGGAGATGGATGCTACTCTTTTTAGGGTAGTACCCATCTTTGAACATCTGTAGGCAGAAACAAGTGAGGTAGATGAGAGAGAAGGGCAGCTACTAGGAGGTAGTTTTCAACACTGGAAGATCCTGTAAAGGGGTTTATATTATACTAAACTCTCTGTCTCCTCTTGTTATTGTTTTCTATCTTCCTTTCAGAAGTTACTTTGAGGACATAGGCCAACTAAAACCCTCTACAGTACTGGTGGGAATGTACAATGATAAATTCACTTTGGAAAACAGTTTGGATATTTCCTGTAAAGTCAAACATACACTTACCGTTTGACCCAGCAATGTCATTTCTTGGCATTTATCCAGGAAAAATGAAAGCATGTGTTCGTGAAAAGACTTAAATGTGAATGTCCATGTGTTCGTGAAAAGACTTAAATGTGAATGTCCATACCAGGTTTATTCATAATAGTACAAAGTGGAAAAACCCAAATAGTCATCAAGTGGTGAATGGATGTATAACATTTGGAACACACACACAGTGAGAAGCTACTCAAAAATAAAAGAACAAACTATTAGTAATCACGTATATTATTTTACCAAATATTATGTTGTCAACTTTGCTGCATTGTTGGCAGCAGGAAGTAGTAGAATTCTTTTTTTAAAATTTTTATTTATTTATTTTTTTGAGATGGAGTTTCGCTCTTGTTGCCCAGACTGGAGTGCAGTGGTGCAATCTTGGCTCACTGCAACCTCTGCTTCCCGGGTTCAAGTCATTCTCCTGCCTCAGCCTCCTGAGTAGCTGGGATTACAGGCATTCGCCACCACACCCAGCTAATTTTGCATTTTTAGTAGACAGGGTTTCTCCCTGTTGGTCAGGCTGGTCTCGAACTCCTGACTTCAGGTGATCCGCCTGCCTCGGCCTCCCAAAGTGCTGGGATTACAGGTGTGTGCCACTGCACCTGGCCTAAGGAAGTAGTAGAATTCTTATAAGGAATGCAGAGGCACAGAAAAAGAATGTAACTAGTAGGGATTTCAGGTATGGAGGCAAGCTGGTGAATAAAATAGTTTTAGTTTGGAGGCTATTCTGAAAGTTCTCCAGGCAAGCCACAGAGGTATCTACTCCATTTGTGAAAGGTATCAACTTTGGACATTCAAATGACATCAAAACAAGGCATTTTGTTTCTCTCTGGACACCACTCCCTTAAGAATTGGAAACCAAGCAATATTTATAATTTTTTTCACTAGCTTCTTTTCATTTAGAAAAATAACACTGGTTTCTTTCTCCTTGGAAAATAACTAATGCTAAGACCACCTAAAATATAAGCTGCCATTTCAATTTTTAGAGTAGGAATGGAATTTCCTTTGCGATCTCTTCCTTGCTGTACATAAAACCAAGAAAAAAGCAGAAGGGAAAGAGATCTTCTTTTGGAATCTGTAATGGAACCCCCACATTTGTATGAATCTTTTTGTACATATAGGAATCTGTTGGGAGAAATTCTCCAAAGACCAAGAATATAGTCCTATGGCATTTGAAAGCTGAAATTTATAGGCAGGCTAATAATCAGTGGAAAGGTTTTCTGCTTAACAAAACTTTTCTGTTTAGTCAGAGGATAGTTGATTTTTAAGACTTTAAAAGAAATCAATTTGTTTCTTTACATATAGACCTTTATGTCAATAAATGACGTATGTATTTCACTAATACCCAATAAAAATGAGCAGTAGACTTTTCTTTAGTTGTAGGTGAAGTTTCTACAGGAACTAGTTCTAACTTTAGTGTGTGTCCTCCTAGTGAAAATTCACTTTAACTATATTTTTTCCCTGAATGCCCCTCCCTTTCTCAAGCATGGAAAGGCATGGCACAGAATTGCCGAAGGAAAGAATCTCTAGCAGTAGAATAAGAAACTTTTAAGATAATACAAAAGATATAAAATAAACTGTACCTTGCTTATAGGTAATAGTCTCTAACCTGTCACCTGAAATAGAGGTATGTGCAGAACCTTTGGTTAACCACTAGGCGATTTTTGGAAGTCAGTACACATATTCCATTCTTTGGGGTGAATAGGTCTCTACTGACTTTCTACGTATTTAGCTGGCACCTACCTTATGACTCCAAAGGTAATGCAATAAGAGATAGCAACTACAGCCAATAAGTATTTTGCCTAGAATTCTATAATTACAATCATGTGTCGCTTAGTGAGGGAGACATGTTCTGAGAAATGTGTCATTAGGCATTTTCAACATTATAGAGTGTACTTACACAAACCTAGATAGTGTAGCCTATGACACACCTAGGCTATATGGTGTAGCCTATTGTTCCTAGACTATAAACCTGTACAGCAGGTTACTGTACTGAATACAGTAAGCAATTGTAACACAATGGTAAGAATTTGTGTATCTAAACATATCTAAACATAAAAAGGTACAGTAAAAAATACCATATATTAATCTTATGGGACCACCGTTGTATATGTGGTCTATCATCCAGATATATTTTAAACATTTTCTCTCTATATAATTGTATTCATAAAGAATAAATAGTATTGTTCCATGTACTTTTAAAATTTGCATAAATAGTGTCATACTTCATATACGTTTTTTAGCTTGCTATTTCCCACTCAAAATTGTTTGAGATATATCTAGGTTGATTTATGTAAATGAAAGTAATTAACTCATGTATGTTGATGTATGATTTGTAGTAAGAATAAACCAATTTATTTACTCATTCCTTTCCTTCAGACAATGTTATTCTTTGAAAAACTGCCACAGTGAAAACCCCTGTGTGTTTTTCTGTCTAGCCATATGAGACAGTTTCTATAAAGCATATAATTACATATGGCCTTGATGGGTCATAGGGTATATATATGTTCAATTTTATTAGGTGGAGCAGAAACTGCTGGTTGCCAACCCTAAAACCCATTCTCACTTGATTTTTCAAATTGGACACATGGATATCTGGAAGAGACATTTCTTATCCTCCCTTGCTTCTAAGTGTGACTATTTAACTAAAGTCTGGCTAATGATATTTAAGTGGAAGTGTATGCGTGGCAGTTTTCAGAATATTTTCTTAAATGCAAGCTTGCATATATCCATTGTCCCTTCTTTCTCTTTGTTCTTTTCTTCTTTACTGGTATCGGCAATATAGATATGAGGACTGGAGGTCTAGGGGCCATCTTGGACTGTGAGAATAGAGATGCCAATGTGGGGATGTCAGACTAGAAGAAATTTGGGTACCTTCTTGGAGCTACCTTACCAGCAACAAACTTCATTTCTTGACACTTTATTGGAGAAATATGAACATATTTTATATGGAAGCACCTGTTTTGGATTTTCTGTCACAGACAGCCAGGTGTAATTCTAATTGATGCAGTAATACTACAAATTAGTTTTCAAATGGTTATACCTTTTAATACCCCAGCAAAAAATAAATGACTTTGTAATTATTGTATATTATTTTATAATTGTTAAAAGCATTTTAATAACCACATCTCACTTTTATACAGTGTGAGAAAGAACAACAAGAATATGAGATCCCCACTCTGCAGCTCAGAGGGGTGGAGCCCAGGGAGGTTCAATGAATTGACCAAGGTCCCAGTAATTTAGTGCAAGGTAATAAATAAAGGTTATCAAGGATATATATGGTGTCTCACAGACAAATGCCACATGCACCTGTGGGCTCTAAGCAAAGGGGTATTGTCTTGAGTGTGATCTAGTTACTCTGACAAATCTTACCTGTTCTATTCTCAATTAATTTGTATAACATTGTGATTAAAGTCTCTCTTTAGCTGTCCTTTTGCTAAGGAGGAGCATATTGAGTTGCATGCTAGAATTCCCATTTTGGGCATTGGCTCAGACTGGGGAGAGTCATGCCAGCACAAGAAGCTAATTGGTTTACAGAGAAGGGAGGGGGAAGTATACATTTATCAGAGGGCACTGGCCAATTGCCTGGTCTCTTGGCAATGCTTGCCAGCCAATTTCCAGACTGAAGTTGGCATTGGATCTGAAAAGTCACTGATATCCATGCACAGCTGGAGGGTACTGGGCTAAAGAAGCAGAATTTGAAAAGGAGGAGAAAGCTGAGACCTAATCTTAATTTTTTTTCATCTTTTTTTTTAATATTGGGTGACTTTGAGAAAATGGAATGGTATTAGAATATTCAGACTGCTGGGCAGGGTGGGAGAGGCTGTGCTGAGGGAGCTTCTAAAGATGGAAGGAAGTTTCCTGGGAAAAGTCCAGAAGTGGTTGTGCAGTGGCACTTGAAATGGACTGAATTGTGCTCCTGCCTGCTGTGCCTCCAGAAGGCTCTGTAAGATCATCTGAGTGTATACACGCATCAGAGGGCACTTTGGGGTTTAGCTGATGTCAAGGCTGAGGGATTCCATCTCCTGCGAATAAGTTGTTTACCACTACCACCTTCTTTTGTCACCCCTCATGTCAGTGCACAAAGGGCCCTTGAGTAGAGAAGCATGTTTGGTCTAGATACATGAAAAGAGGGGACTGTGAAGGAAGAAGAGAGACAGACAATTCAGTGTATTTTGGCATCCTATGAACTGAACCCCAAGTAAGGCAATTTTAAGAATATTCTCTTTAAAAACTTCTCTTCTACCAAATGTGTTTTCAGCTAATGTGGGAAATTAAACTGCTAAATTCTAAATCTATTCTCAACATCACTAAAAATTATAAATAGGGGAGAATAACCTATACAAACTAAGCTATCTGTGCTAGAGGATACAATGCAGTTCATATGTGCCCAACAAATGCCAGCAAATTTTCCAAACCAGAATTTAACTATCTGTGCTTGATGTGGGAGGGCAACATATATACTTAATAAAAATTTAAAATCCAGGCCTCAGGGCTCAACAAAATTCAGTTCCTGCCTACTGAATTTCTCATTGCAAATAATATACTGCATGAAAATAGAAAGCTCAAGGAACTGGAATTTCTACTGAAATTAGATAGAAGGCTCCTACTCCATTTAATCAACTGATATGAAATGCTTGGCTCTGGGTGACTCCATAAAGGCTCTGTTTTTATTTGATTCTGCTGCCTCCTACTGATGAGGAGCCCATGTGGAAAGACAGGGGACTGTGCCATGAGAAGCATGGTTCATGCCGTCATTATTCTCACCAGCTAGGGATTCTGGATACCTAATTTCTAGTTACTGTATTGCCTCTAACTAGTTCTGAAATTGTGGGTGACCTTTTCGCCTCAGTCCCTTCTGGTGCAAAATCAGAGAATGGAAGATGTTCTCTAATCAAGTCCAGCTTTAGTGGTCTGTGATTATCTCACAGTTCTCTCCACTGATTCAAGTTGCTCCTGACAAAAGGATAATATAACAGTGTGGTAAAGACTTTTAGCACTTAGACATGTCTGGTTCTCTGCTCCTTCCTGGATCCATTGCAGTTAGGTAGGGTCGTGTGACTCTCTCTGATCAATGGACAATAAGTGTAATGTCAGTCTGGGCCAAAGAGAAGAACAGTGAGATTTCCATGGTTTGTGTCCCCTGCCATAGCAACCTTGCAAGTTAAATGTTGAGACAGCAGAGTCTTAAGATGGAAATGATAGACTCCCTGACTGGAAAGCATGCTGCTGTGGCAAGCCATCAGATTTGCAAGGAACTTAGGAGGGTAAAAATGGGTGCAGCACACCAACATGGCACATGTATACATATGTAACAAACCTGCACATTGTGCACATGTACCCTAGAACTTAAAGTATAATGAAAAAAAATTTAAAAAAAAGAAAAACTAAGTTAAATGTTTAACTGCAACACTTCCCGGTCTATGTACAACAAATACATAGCATTGCTGCAAATACAGGTGGCTCACCCAGAAGAACCCATTTATTCCTCTGCAATGATTATTCACAGGCAAAGTCACACAATACATAACAAAGAGAGCAAGTGTTCCTGTGTGTACCATTAAAAGAAGACCCAAGGAAGAAACACAGGCTAGAGATGTTTAACAGAGTACACAGTAATCACTCAACAAATGCTTGTTTCATGAAATCATAATATAAAGTTTCCCCACTGGTGTGTTTGGATGGGAAAAGGGTATGTGGGGAGGGTGAACTTGTTGAAAGCATCTCTATATTCTGAGTACTGTAGCACATGGTAGTACTCAAGAAGTGTTTGTTAAATTCAGATGAACTGAGTGAACACTTACATGGTGACGCATATAGCTGACTTTGAAACTGACAATATAGAAATGGATGTTGGTCTCATTCCTGACTCATAGCTTACACTTAAAAGTAGAAAATATCTAAATCTATACACGTATATAATTGCCATCTACCATTTATTCATTCAGTAAATATTTATTGAGTACCTGCTTCGCCCAAAGTGTTATGTTAAACACTGGAAGACTGGATCAATCCTCATTGAGTTTACATGCTGGGGCATGAGGGCTGGGTAATGGCAGGAACAGAGGGGTGGTGGACACTACATAATTATTTAAATAAAATCGTGGTATGTATGATGAAGGAGAAGTACAGGATGATTTGAGAGTATGTGACTAGAGGACCCAATTTCAACTAGTGGTCAGGGAAGGGCTTTCAGTTTTAACACAACTCATTGTTCCCATTAAGATAATTGGGTAACTCAAAGACGTGGCTGGATTCTTTAGCCCACATGTGAAATCTCGCAACTGTGGCACTGCTTTCAACCATAGTGGTAGCCAATGTGAAGGGAAGGCTGATGTTTTTTCCAGCATTGCTTGAATTTTGATGCAGCAACATTAGTCAGGTACCCTAGATATTGCAGGACTTTGGCTTTGAAAAATAGAAAAGGGAAGGAAAGTAATTCTGTCCATTTTTTTTTTTATTTAATCTGTACCAAGTTTTGTAAGTGGTTTTAACACTCTGTAATGTGGAGTCCCTCCTTAGAGAGGAGAAACTATTATTTTGCAGATGCGAAAGCTGAGACATGGTGGGGTAAGCAACATACCCAGTCACAGTTAATGAATCCTCGGGCAAAAATATTGAAGCCAATCAATTTGGCTCCAGAATGACAGCATTTAACTCCTGCTTTACACTGCACTGCCTCTCCAAATGGTGGATGCTACCAGAGCAGAGCCACCTAAGTAGGGGATCAAGTTCCAAGGTTGATGTACAACCCGTTAACAGAATTACCTTGGAAGATTCTTAAGAAGGTCTCCAAATAAATATAATGTGGTATTTTTTTTTTCTGACAGCTTGGAACATGTTGCTAAAGAGCAGTTCTGTGGGCAGCCTTGGACTGATCCAATTTTTCCTCTTTTTTGCTTATAGTTCTCAGAATAACTCTAGAATGTTGTGAGAATGCAATGTCATGAGATAGGAAGAGACCGGCCAGATAGCCTGGACTCTGTTCTAGTCCCCTCTCCTCTAAGAAACAGAATGTCCTTTACAATACTTTAGCCCAGTGAATCACATGGACCCAGGGTATAAAACCCAGAGTGGGCTGCATTCTGTGGTCCTTCAGCTGCTGTGCAAGTGGGGCACCTGCAGACAAGAAATCTGTTCTGGATAGTGTTTTCCTGAGTCTTGGGTGACCGACTCACCCTGAATCCTAAGCTTCTGTTGTCTCTTGATGTCTATCTGTAAGTAATAAACTCACTTTGTGCTGTTTGTTGTATATATGTGTGATCTGTCCTGCTGGACTCAGACAAGTTAGTACCCAGTGCACAGGGAACCTGCTTCACAGAAGCTTATAGGGGAATACTGTTATGGTGAATTACAGGCCCTTTTAAAGGAAAGCAAAATATATCCATGAAGATTGTTTCTCTCTTTTTATATATTATCTAAATTATTTTATCTGCTATGGAAAATGATAAACCGATTAAGGTATTTGAAATTGTTAGGAATATGACATGGCCTAAAGAATATTTTTTTTCTCTTCTACACATTGACTTCTCAGTGACTGATATCATATGTCTGTCTGTCTATCTATCTGGCTAGCTATCTACCTCCCTACCTACCTATCTGTTTTGGTGTGTTTTAGGATACAGTTGTTGTTTAAGATGTCCTGCTGACTGTAGCAGCAGCTTTTATGCAGTCGCTTAGTTATCACCCTCTTACCTACTGGCTGTGCCTAAGTTCTAGGTTTTGAATGAGTTTGACTAACCTACCTCTACTGGCTTGTAATGGTCTACTTAATTTTTAATTTGTAATTTTGCGGGAAATGTCCGAATTATCTCACTGGGATTTATTTCACCAAATAGTGTCCTTTGATAGAGAAGGTATTCACATCACTGTTGTTAGTTTCCTCTAACTATGGAGACCAACCTGACATGGCCAAAGGTCTACACAATAGGAGATAAGAGGAAAATATCCTCATAGATAGTTAGACATATTGGGAGTTAAAGACATCCGGTATTATTACTTATTTTCTGACTGATGTTAAGTCTTTTGTTTAGTTAAAAATTTCCCTCCAAATCATTTCTCTAACTGTGGGAACCAACTTGACATGGCAAAAGGGTTGGACCACAAGAGATAAAAAGAAAAAATCTTCATAGATAAAGATATTGGGAGAGAAAGCAAACAGACAGAATATGTGAAAATATTTACTAAGATATGTACTAAAATGTTACTGTAATTCTGATTCACGTTCATTCTGGAAACAATGAAGGCAAAAAAATGTCAATAAAATACCAACTATTATTTGGAGGCAAAAAGTAACAATTCAAACGGTATTTGAAAGAAAAAATGATACTGCTGTGGCAAGAAAAACCAAGAGGAAGGATAATTTTTGATTTGGAAGTAGATGGCATCCTAGGTGGCAGCTCTCCTAAACCAGAGACAGAGCCAGTAAAAGAAATCCGCCCAGGATTCTAATGCTAGACAGATAAGTACACACTTGCAGCCGTATCTGAAGACGGGGTACAACATGCCACACTTTGAACTTCATCACCACCTATTCCCCAAAACTGAAGGGATATTTGAAATGCTAAGCAATTTACCCTGTATATCAAGGATTACTATCCTACTCAAACTATATATGCCAAAAACATTGACACATGGCCCAGTCAATGCAAACAACCTATTACTTTCTGACTGACATGTTAACTCTTTTGCTTAGTTAAAAATTTCCCTCGAAATCATTTTAACGATTATGCTTCTGACTCCTCACACGTGAAAGGAAAAGTATTCACAATTCCATGATTACTTTTCCAAGTCAAATTTTTAGCAATTTATTCTAGATTCAAAAAAATAATTGCTATTTTCGTTCTGTCTCTTCTCAGGGAGAAAAAAAAACACACACACCTTCAAGGGCTGCCATGCCTTCCTCTCATGATGTAGCTGGGAAATGTACAACTCAGGGCTGCTAATGCATGGAATAAATGGACAGTCTTGCTAACTCCTATTATCATCATTGTGTCTAGAGTCTATGTCAGTTCAAAACTAAAATGTCCTCCTTTGCATCCACAGCACTTTAAATAACCCAACAGCATCTGCATTTATATAATGCCCATCTGCAGGATATGATATCATCTTGACAAATATTCCATATTTCTATCTTTTCTGTGTGTGTATGGCTCAGAAAAACTGAAGGGTTACACAAGAAGAACTTTTTTGGGTTTTATGCATGTCCAAAAGTTGTAGTCCTCACTGATAGTAAAGGTCATGTAACTTGGAGAAAACATGGGCAAAAATGGATCCATGTAGATCAGAAATGATTAGTCAGCTCCATTTTCTTTCCTACCACACCATTTTACATCATTAATTTGAAATGCAAGGGACTGGAAAGAATTGACTTCTATTTAATGAGGTTTGATTTATTCAACCTTGTGTTATTAGTGAAAATAGAATAACTTGTTAGCTGGAAAATACATTTAAAATAATGCACTTCTCTGAATAAATTATCAGATTGATGAGTATATAACAATAATATTGAGATCACTTTACATTTGCACATAATGTGGCAGTTTAGAAAGCACATTCATAAGCATCACTTTGCTCAATCTTCATAATCCTCTGGGTATTATTGTTCATATTTTATCGATGGGATCCCACAACTCAGAGAGGTTAAGTGACAGCTAATAAGGGAATAGCAAGGTTTAGTCTCTGGTATTCTGTCTCCCCACACCCTTTTCAGCAGTCACTTTTACCAGAAATAACCAAACAAAAAGATGGCCCTCATTATCTTTTGCCTATGCTTTTTCAATGGCTTTTTATCTATTATCTCTGGCACCAATCTTCCCTACCACCCTCTCTTATTCTCAGAAGCAATTCACATCAGCACTTTCCTGATGGACCCTTCTGAAAATGTCTTTGCCTACAAGTTAAATTTAACTATTACTTTGTCATCCAGTGTCCTTCACAATCAGACTTCAATCTGGCCTCACCCTAGTTCTTCATTCTCCGGTTCCTGCCTCGCAGCCTACGTTACAGCCACACTGACCTCATGATTCCCTCAGTCTACTGTGCTATTCCACCTCTTGTGTCTTTGTACCTGTTATTTCTTTCCCTTAGGATGCCTTTCCTTGATCCTCTACCTAGTAAATTTCTACTTATAACTTGAGAATCAGCTCAAAAGTAACCTCCCCTATGAAGCCTTTCTCTTCTTTCTTAGGACTCACATGCACTCAATGAATGTTTATACATCATGAAGTTGAAATCTTGTGAGTGAGCTTTCTAAAAGTAGGGACCACATCCTATTGATCTTTACATTCCCAGTGTCTAGTGTCAGGTCTGAACATTCAATAACTGACTATAATATTAATAGAGCATCAGTGATTTCTTTAATAGTGTGAAAATATCTATAACTATTAGATATCAAACTCTTTTGCAGCCATTTCACTTCTAGGTATATATCCCCTCAAATTGAAAGCAAGGTCTCAGATATATACAGCACATGGCAAATGCTGATGTTCATGGCAGCATTATTCACAATAGCTGAAAGGTGAAAGCAACCTAAGTGTCTATCAATGGACGAATGGATAAGCAAAATGTTTATCCTACAATGGAATATTATTCAGTCTTGAAAAGGAAGGGTTTTCCAACACATGCTACAATATGGATAAAGCTTTAGGATATTATGCTAAGTGAAATAAGCCAGTCACAAAATGACAAATACTGCATGATTCCACTTATGAGGCATCTACAGTAGTCAAGCTCAAGGAAACAGTAAAATAGGAATTACCAGGGATTGGGGGAAGGAAGAAGGGGGAGCTTTTAATGGGTACGGAGTTTCAGTTTTGCAAAATAGAAGAGTTCTGGAGATAGTAGCACAACAAAGTGAATATACTTAACACTACTGAACTGTACACTGAAAAATGGCTAAAATGGTAAATTTTATGTTATTTGTATCCAGAAAGAGAAATGTTACATACTCTCACTCATACGAGGGAGCTAAAAAAAAATTGATCTCATGGAGGTAGTGAATAGAATGGTGGTTATTGGAGGCTGGGGAGGGCAGTGGGGAGACGGTATGAAGAGAGAATGGTTAATAGGTATAAAAATACAGTTAGAAGGAGTAAGGTCTAGTGTTTAATAGCACACTAATGTGACCATAGCTAACAATGTTTTATGGTATATTTTGAAATAGCTAGAAGATTTGGAATTTTCTCAACACAAATAATAAAGAGGTTTTACTCAGATTGGATCATTATACATTATATACTTATATCAAAATATCACATATACATTTGTACAACTATTTTGTATTGATAAAAATTTTAAAAAATATTAGGTTAAATGTCTCTTTTAGTGACATTGACTTCTTAAATGAATGAACTAAGGAAATTGTTTTGAACTTTAAAGTATGTGTGTGTGTCGTAAAGATAAGGAAATAGAGTAGGCAAGAAACAAAAGAGAAATATATTTCTGCTCTCGAGCTGGTTTTCTAATTGGGGAGATAGACATCAGATATATAAAATGATATGATTTCAAAACAATAAATCTCTGTAAAAATACTTTAATCATTACTCAAGTCCTGAGGTAAGATTGAAATTGGCATTAAATAGAATTAATCTTGGAGCTCTTCCAGGAGGAGGTAGATAGGTAGCCTGGTTTTAATGCTTTAGTTGGGCAGGTTTTGACAAAGACACAGGCAGTGGGCTCTAGAAAGACAAAGAGATAGAAATGAATGTGAAACCCCGTCTCTATTAAAAACACAAAAAATTAGCCAGGCGTGGTGGCGGGCGCCTGTATTCCCAGCTACTGGGGAGGCTGAGGCAGGAAAATGGTGTGAACCCGGGAGGTGGAGCTTGCAGTGAGCCAAGATGGCGCCACTGCACTCCAGCCTGGGCGACAGAGCGAGACTCCATCTCAAAAAAAAAAAAAAAAAAAAAAAAAGGAATGAATGAGCTATTTGTAAGGTGGCAGTGGGGGGGGGGGGGGAGTGGGCTACATTTGCTTTACGAGTGTTAGCTTATTTAATTCTATGATAGTTATATAAAATAACTTCCATTGTAGCCTTTCTTTTATTTGAGTAAACGAAGGCACAGAGAGGTTAGGTTACGTATCCAAAGAGAATATGTGGGTAGATAGCAGAGTGAGGTTTTAAACCGCAGCCCCCTGGCTTCAATATCCATGTAACTGCCCAATAAACTGTGCTCCGTTCTCTAGTCAGTTCCATCATGAAGCGCAGTTATCAGTGTCTCATTTCTTCATACCCTTCCCAAGCCCATTGATAATTTTCAGGAACATAACATGTTACTATAGGAGAGCTTGGGATCCAGCTGACTGAATGTTTACAGATGACTTGATGAGGTAAAATAGATTTAAGCAACAATATGAGCAATTCAGTTTAGAGAAAAGTTTTTTCTGACATGGGTTCAGTCAATTTGACATAAAGATTGAGGTTAGGAAAACTATTTCTTTGGAAAACAGTCTCTGTCACCATGCTTTAGTGCCCTGACTCTATACGTCCATGGCTGTTCTTCACATAACTCTTTTATGGGTTATCATTTCATGAAATTTCCTTTGCATGTCGCGCAGTATTTTCAAGTGTATCAGGCTGCAGACTGTTATCAGCATATCTGACCTTCAGTGGAATTTACATTTTTAAATTTTTATTTTTTGCAATACTGGAACAGGATTGCAACAGAAGTGTTCAATTATTTTCAAAGAAAAATCATAAATTGTAAGTAGGGACTGGATATGTATGATTGTGGTTGAAGGAGTGGTCAGAAAAAGCCAACTTTTCCATATTAAATCTATGTATTAATATTTAATATGGGAAAAGACACATCATGGTTTTGGATGCTGCTAACAGAAAAAGAGACTGTTAATCTACATTAATTTATTTAAAGTAGAGTCAAATAGTGAAAAGAACAAGAAGATGATTATTTAATCTTTATTCTGATACAAGCTGGGACATGCTTTTTTATATTCAGGTTTCTTTTTTCTGTTTTAGCATCAAAGAAAACTGTATAATTTAGTAAGATTTTGTTAAGTATTTGAAGACTATATTCAAATAAATAATCAGGTCATAAATACTTTGATAAAGAGTGAGAAACAAGAGTACACATGTTACTAGGCTTTAAGCTGAAAAGAATCACTTACTATTTGAGCTTCACTAGTTATAAAGTAAGTATTTGGATTCAGATCAATGGGGACATGAAGACAAGGGGAAAAGAAACTTAATTCAATAACCTCAAAAACGTCTTTAGACAGCGGACTACTGACAAAATATTTCACCTCATTTAGTATAAATGAATTAGAGACATGTGGGTTGCCTTTTGCCCAGAATAGGCAGAGGCTTAAAATATAAGAGACATTAACTTTTGGCAAATCCTATTTGGTATTTTACTGAACCTAAATCATTTTTGCCAAAAGTTTACTTTTGTGGCTGAGTTTGGAGTAGAATGCAAAAATACAAAAAGAACACATTGACTTACATAGATGTATGGGGGTTTAAGCTGAAAAATGTATTGAGGTCAATGACAGTTTAAGATTCTTCTAGGAACAGACAGAATCATGCCAAAAGTAATGAATACTTCCATTGTCTTCTGGCTCCCATCTGAGTGGGCCAGAAAATTTCAAATTATGCCTTATAAAATGTAAAGACATGATGTAAGCCTGAGATGTAAATATGCTTCAGAAAACACCCCTTTTTAACAAAATGTGAATTTCAGGGCTCTGCCTTCAACTCTGATCTGGCTACAGTTGTGACACATATGTGTCTCCTATGCAGGGTCAGCAAACAGCAGGTAGGCTGGTAGGCCATGTGTGTGTAATTGCTTGGCTCTTAATTGTGTTAATGTTAATGCAGCTGCCCTGACTCAGACTCTTCTCTATTATAGGTTTCTGTTAGAAAAATAGTTATTTTAACAATTTATTTACATTTCACTGTATTTTTTTTTAAAGCAGTAGAACTTCCTTTATTATTGTTGCTGTTTTATTTGGGCTGCTAAACAGGATCTGGGAAGACTTGAATTCTAAACACATCATAGTGGCAGACCAGTAGGGAGCCTATGATTATCTTGAGTTTTGTCTACCAATGTCATGGCAACTAGTTAAGTTGGAGTATGGGGAGTAGATAGGGAAGACCAGGTAGACTGTTAACTTGGTATCACGTAGAGCCCTTTGATTAGCAGATTCTCTTCTCATATATCCCCTGCCCCTCTCCTTAGTAAAGCATAACTACATACATACATACATTTATATATAAATATATCAGCAAAACAAAGTAAAAATGTTTATGTATTATTAATATTGTCATCATGAAGATACCACATCAGGATGAGATATTGTGGAGGAGTAAACTTAAAATTTCTTATTATCGACAATATTTGTCATAAATTATTCTATTCATGGTTACTACATCAGTGGTATTACTATTCCCCCAAAATGATAAAGCAATTTACTAGTATTTCCTTGGAATTTTAAGATCAAAAGCTCTAGAGATGCATCTTTCTATTTTACCCGTGAAACTTAAGACAGCAAAAAGAATAACGAAACCAAAGGGTGACAGGCAAAGTTGGAAGCCTCAATGACAACTTTTATAATTTTTAGTTATAGCTCAGGAGAGAGATGGAACTTCTGCAAGATGGTATTTATAGATGAGAAGGCCAGGATATTTGTATTAGTAAGCTCAGAAAAGTATAGAAATATTCTAGAAGTCCCCTCTCTTCATCTGTCTGCTCATTACTTATTTTAGAAATAACAAATATCTATGATTTTGGCTGTGTAAATAAATGAGTAAGGGTTTGAAATCTTGTGATTCCAATATTTTTCACAATCCATTTGCACTATTTCAGGTAATTCCTTTCTTTATGTACAAGCAACCTCCACCACAGTGCCCTAAGGCACAATACGGTATAGCCATTCACACATGCACGGTCAACCTGGTTTCAGCCTATCAGAGCAAGATCAGGAAGGATTAGACAAATTTAGTTGTATACACTTACACAGGTTCAAAGCCAGTCTTATGCAGAGCTGGATAGGCAATTACCTATATGATGACATTTTATGTTACTACAGGACATAATGTCCAGGAAACAAAGGAATAGGAATTCTGTTTTTTGGTTACTGCCTTGGTTGAACATTAAAATTAGCATTGTTCTGTGCACTACCTTTGTTAATAAAAGTCCTAAGGAAGTTGTAATCATGGACATGTAGGACATTTGGGAAGTTTTGTGTAATGCAATAACTGAATGATTAGGGCAGGAGAAGGAATAATTACCAAATCCTTAATTTCTAGGCTGGTGGTACCCTTGATTTTACTTTTTGCAATTATATGTTTCAGAGAACATTGTTTAAACCATAGTGTTCAGATTTCTGTATTAAGATAAAAAAAGGGAAATTACATCTAGATGAGAATTGTAAGTAAGCATTAACTGTGAGTTATCATTTTCCTTACATTATCTCATTTGACTACTCAAACAATCTTACGAGATAGGTATTATCTCCATTGTTCAGATGAAAAGGTAGTCATAGAGATTAAATATTTATTAGAAGTCACACAACTAGTAAGCAGAAGTTGTGTGAACCTAGCTCTGTGGATGCAAAATAATGTACTGCTTTGCAAGACCTGTAGCATAATTTACTTATGTTCTATATGTGGGTAAAATTGTTACATTATCACTGGTAAAATACAAAACCAAATATAAAGAATAATTGCATTTTGATTTTTGGACCTGCCAAGACATACATCCTCAAACTCTTTTGCATCAGAAATGCCTGGGAGAATTGTTTTGTTTGTTTTGTAATTAAAATGCACCCTATTGTCTCTTCTTCCTTGATGATTGCCAAAAATTATAGTTTAAAAATACAACGAGGTGATATGAACATGTTTGAATGTTACCATTATATTTTTATTACACGTAAACAATACATTGTGTTTCCAAAATAATATACTCTAGAAAGTAAACTTTTCTTTCTTCTTTCCCATAAGTGACATCCTTCTGATATGCAGAGACTTTTAACTTGGGTACCAAACCATAATGGTACAAATAGAGGTATTTCAAGAAGTTGCTAAAATTGTTACATTGTAGAGCAGAATCTGATTTTGTGTACATGTTCCTACAGAAAATTCAGAACACATCTTAACCCCGTTATTCTTATTGTGTCACTTTAAAAGTTAGAGAATTGGTTTAGTAACAAACCTAGAAGTTTCCATCATATCCTCTTAAGCATCTGTGGTTCTTGCACTCAGCCATCTCAGCATGCTCATGCCAAAGCTCAAGACACGAGATCCTTCCAAATATGAAGAGTAAAATGAGGCTTATCACCTTCGTAAAGATTAATTATTTTTCAACCAATAAAACAGACTTTTTCTTTATCTAATGGGCTTCATCCATCATAGTACATGATAGATAGTTAATACTTTACTTTCAGGGAAACTGCAGCTTAGAGCAGTTTTACTAGTTCAGTTCAGACAGTGGTTTACCTCTAAACTTCTATAGCTAGGGCTAATAGTGTCTGATGAGCTCATCTGCCTGGAGAAAGAAAGAACAGACATAAGAAAGTGCTACCCCAAATACTTAAAATTGCCTTGCTGTGGATTTGAAACAACACAGGTTGTAAAAGCACAAAGTGCCAGACAGCTTACATACATCTTTTAGCACATTTCAAAGACAAAACAACATGTGCGGAATCAAAGGCAGGAAAATCATTATGTAAAATATCACCTTTCCCCAGTAAATGTTTTCTATTGAACTGCTGAAAATTCTTCTCAGTAAGGAAGATAGAAAGCCAGGGCAACCCCTCTGCAGGCACAGCAGAGTGAGGTCCACCCAAAAATTCTCCACTGCCATGGGCTGCAACCTTAAGACCCTGCATGACTTGTTAGAGATTTAGATTTATCTGGCTCTCTAGTGTCTTATTGCATAATTTCCATTACTTTATTACCCACCATTCGCCCTTCAATAGTTCTTTTCATGTGTTTTTTGTTGTGGCTTTGCTTATGTGGGACAGTCCATGTTACAAGTTTTCTCTATTATTTATATATGAAAGTCTCCTCATGAAAACACCATCATATATAGCAAAGCAAACTATATTAGAATTCCATAATAACATGGCTTTGTATAAATTCTGATACCCTCTTGGTCATAGTTATTCATAGGTCAAATGAAACAATGAACTAATTACACATTGATATACTAGACTGAGGCTGTGTTTCAACCAGGTTGACCTTGTCTGGGGAATACATGCAATCAGGGGCATGTAAGTCCCCTCTGAAATACAACTGAAGATGGTATGATCACCAATGATTGGAAAGGTAGGATCACTGGGAGAAGTCAAGGTTGAGTCTTGGATGTTACAACTAATGTCTATGATTTCCATAGTTCAGAATAAAACCAAGGATAGCGTATCAATCAGGACAACAATAGTCACTCCAGATAGGAGGAATTTTAATAGAGGGAGGTGCTGAGAAGCCAAACAAATGATAATAAGGCAACCCAGACATTACAGTAGCAAAAAGCCACTATCATCCCTATGTTTGAGAGTTAAAGGGAAAAGACTGTTATTGGATTGCCTGGCTCTGGGGCCACAGACAGAAGCCAAAACCATTTCAGGTCTGCCTGTCAGTAGCTTGAACCAGTAAGCAAAGGACACCTATCCAGATTTGCAGCCATAGAAGAGGTTGAAACCTGAGACTATCTGGTTTAAATTAACCTTTCTTGTTACTGGCAGCTACTAATAGATTGCACTTAATCAACTATCGCATCTCTCATAGAGAAGGAGTCATGACCATGTTTTCCTTATTTATTATGCCATCGTGCAGCGGAGAGTGACCCAGAGGTTTATTCTTCTTATGTGACAAGACTGATGAAATCAATCTCACACCATTTTACACTTGTATCTATTGTAATTTTTATACATATTAAAATAAATACCACACACCTGAATTAGGGTAAATGGCTTGCTTATTCGTCCTCTGAGGTGGGCTTTTGTTTTTCCTTACTAGAAAGTCTGAGCGTGTTTCGTTTCTCATATTTGTTTAAATAAAAAAGAAATTTTAATGATACCATGAATCCTCATGATCAGGGAAGAACGATGTGTCAGTTCACCTGATGACCTCACCAGCAAGTAACAGAAAACAAGCAAAATGACTCATACAATGAGGGCTTTGTTATCTTTATTGTCTGACAAGTCCTGTTGTATGTTCCAAGATCACTGACTTCAAGGGCTCAATGAATGGCTCAGGGATCCATTTCATTTCCACATTTTGTTCTGCCATCTTTGGAATGTTCGTGTTTGTCCTTACGTGGCCCCTCACATCCCCAAGTTACTCCAACCTTATATCCTCAACAATAACTTCCAGAGGTGAGAAGATAGACCATCTCTTCCTTATGTTCTTTCATAAAAGTCAGAAAAACTGTACTAGAAATCCACCCCAGACTTCCCCTCACATTTTACTGGACAGAATGACATTACATCATGGACAAGAGAATGGAATTTACATGAGTCATTTCAACCAGAGTTGATATGCACCTTCAGCTGAGAAGGGACTTAGTCTCCTTTGAAGGATATGGCCTACCAAGACTTGAACAAAATCAACTCTTACACAGCACTTACAACAAGGGAGGCACTATTCTAAGAGTTATTAAACATACATAAAGAGATATAGAAATGTGTATTAAATCATTTAATACAAAAATTATATGAGGTGGTTATTATCTATAACTTATCAAGATATTAAGTAACTTAAGGGCCAGGCACAGCGGCTCATGCCTATAATCCCAGTACTTTGGGAGGCAGTGGTGGGAAGATGGGTTGAGGCCAGGAGTTTGAGTCCATCCTGGGCAACATAGTGAAACCCCATATCTACAAAAAAAATTAAAAATTAACCAGGTGTGATTGTGTGGACCTGTAGTTCTAGCTACTCAAGAGGCTGAACCTGGAGGATCCTTCGAACCCAAGAGTTTGAGGGTGCAGTGAGCTATGGACATGCCAAAGCACTTCACCCTTGGTGAGACAGCAAGATAACCTTGTATTAAATAAATAAATTAATTAATTAATTAATTAATTAATTAATTAAGGTCACACTGTTATTCAGTAGTGACAGCAGGGTTGTAACTCAGGTGATCTGGCCCCAGAGTTGTTGCCTTTAAGATGAATACCAGGTTGCCTCTGTGGAATAGTGTGTATGTGAGGGAGTAGGATGTATGGTTGTTAGATAGACAACTACAATCTTTTCTCACAACAGACAGAGCCTGTCATTAAGTAGGCACTCAGAAATGTTCATGGAATAAGCAAAAAAAAAAAAAAAGAAGAAGAATGAATGAATGAATATACCCTTTGATAGCCTCCAATACAGTGTCTTGTATGTAATAGTCATTCAGTGGTTGCTTAGTTGATGGTGTCTCATTGTGTGTCTATTGCAGCACAATTTAAGTAGAGAATTTAGGATATGCTACAAACTGGTCTATCATTTTCCTTAAGATAAATGAGGGGTAATGCTCAGAGAGAGGGCAGTTACCCATGACTGAAGTGGGAGAGACTGACATTCAGGAGTTTGATTTGGGAAACCCTAGAATTCTAGGAAGTGATTGCTGTTTATAAAAATGCAAATTGGTCCTGTTTAAACTTGTCATTATAGAAAAACCTAGCAAGGCTCATATCCTATGCTAAACTCCGCTACAATCTCTATCCAGAAGATGTCTGACCATTTTATATTGTTTTCCAACCCTTTCTTGGTTTGTTCGCTGGAGAGAATCCATCTCATTTACCACAACTCCAAAATCCCCCTGTGTGGAACACAAGACACATCTATGTCCTGCTCACATTGTTTTCTTGAGAGCAGAGAGATGTCAATTGGCTTGGTCCTCTTTTATATGCAATTAGATACAGCTATCATATATTACCTTGTGACAGATATGCATTGTCTCATTCAATATTAAGTAGGGATCCACATGTAGCCATCCACAGTCGTAGACCTGGATATATCTTGTTTCTACTTGGAGAAATTCAATGAATGGCAACATGGATTTACAAATCAATATTAAGAGGTAATTATTCTGCTTACAAATAAATTTGTCAGCTTCCACATCTGTTAGCAGGTCAGAGATTATTTGAGTTCACATTAGAGTGAAATACATAGAAAAGAAACTTAAAGTTTGTATATTATAGAAGATCATTAGGAAATGCCTTCCTTTGACTCTAGAGCCAAAGGACTAATCTAACAATCAATGTCATCAATAACTTTCTCTACAGTATTTAATGTCAATTATTGATTCCCAGAAAAGCAAACCCTGTTCAAAATGTGTTATTTTGATTTATAAGCAATTCATTCACCATATTATTCTCCCTGACCCGCAGTAAGCAAATAGGCATCAAGCCCATGGTTTCCTAGTTATTAAGAATGATAATGTCTCTTACAGATTATCCAATCCAGACCTCTTGTTATATAGACACAGTTAGAAGGCCCAGTTACTATCCCAAGGCTACATAGCTAATAAAATATACAGCCAGAAGGAGAATTTTGGTCTAGAGCTCTTTCCTGTCCTCACAATTAAATAATCAATTTCTTTACATGTCAAAGTCACTACATCTTACAGTTCAGTGCTTACATAACTTTATACCATGCCTTAAATAATATTCCCAAAATACTTATTTGTATTCTTTATATCTGCTTTGATTCCAGAGTACAGAGAGCTCTTGGAGGATGTGATAGATCATATTTTCCAAAGATGGTCACAATATAATTTGCTACTTTACACACTCTTCTTCATTGTGATTTTGTCCTTACACCATTAGAAGTTTATTTTTCCAACCACTTTGAATCTGAGTAGGCCATGTGATTGCTCTATTCAATAATATACAACTGAGGTTCTGCATATGGCCCTTAAGTAGCCCAGCAACTCCTGATCCCTACATTTTGGAATATTTGCTCATAGGACATTTCTTCCAAGAACCCAGTCTCTGCAGTGAGAAGCAGGAACCATACAACAAAGCCGTGATTAGCTGCTCCAGCCTAGCTAAGCTTTCAAAAACTGACAGCTAGTATCAACTACCAGACATGTAAGCGTACCATATTGAACTTCTAGCCCAGCTGAGCTTTTGGGTGACTGCAGGCCTAGATGACAGCTGCCTGTAAGTGCTTGAGAGACCTCAGGTGAAAACCAACCAGTTGGGCACAATCAACCCCCTGGCCTTAAGAAATATTAAATAAGTTTTGTCTTAATTGCCTGAAGTTTTAAGGTGGTTTGTTAGACAGCAGTAGACAACTGGAACACAGCACTAGACAGGAGTTAGCAGTTGTGACTGCCCACAGATTCATGACATCGAGCCTCAGATGCACTCTCACCTCTGCCAAGCAAGCCTCTACTTCAAGCCTCACTGACTCTCATACGTACTGCTTACCTTGACAGATCCAGCTCTCCCACTCTTCCTATTAGCAAAACCTGTCAGGTTTGAAACTGATGTCTGGGTATGTGGAATTTTCAACAGAAATTCTAGGAAACTTCAACACTTCTTAACATAGAAAAAGAATGCTGTGTTTTTCCATATGGGTATCTCCCTTAGGTAACAAGGCTCAACAGAGGTCATAAAGCCCAAGAGCAAGTTAGATATAATGTTGACCTTTCCAGAAAGCACAGAGCTAAATTTAATACTCAACCTGGTAACTATTTCAGCCTGGAGGGACATTATATTTGCTTCCTCTTCTGCAGGGTTCTGATATTTATACATTTTTTACTTTAACAGCCTTATTGTATACATGTGATAATTTCTAAATCTTCTTGGAAGCAGGCAGGGTCTAAACTACAAACAAATAATATTAAATCCCTTCCCCAGAACCTGCTGGTCTGGTCCTCTCCAAAATATGTGAGAGACATTTTGCTCTTTTCATTTAGCGTAGCGTCCCCAAAGCACAGAAGTTGTCCCAGTGGCAGAACATGAGAAGATTTAAGGTAGACCAGGGGTTACTAAATTTTTAATTTTCATAGTTATGTGTTTATTTTAGTATATATTAGAAAATATAAAACTAGTATATCACATATATTGTTATACAGGGTAAGGCTAATTTAAATAAAAATGTTAAATTAATAATACTTTGTGGATATGAACCAAACCATAAAAGTAATAGACAAATAATTGAGAAACACTAATTTGAAATTTCTGAAAGGGTTCTGGGTTCCCTTCTCTTTCTAGTGGATCGTTGTTGGGTAGTTGCGACTTTCTGGCTGATTGATTTTCTGCCTTCTTTTTGAGTCAGCAAGCTATTCCTTGCCACAGTTGAAACTCATATAACACGTGTCTTTCTATATCTCATTTCATCAGCAAACCTAATTCACATATTTTCCCATGATCATAGGTGCTTACCAAGGCCATTTCAGCAAATCTCCATGAACTAAAGAGCTGCCTTCTGAAGATGCTGATGGTGGTCAGATGATTCCCAGAGCTTGGCAGCACAGGGTTGGGTTTCCAGACTGTGCTCAGCCAAACAGAGAACTCTACCTGACACAGAGGCATTGCTCTCTTCTCCCATCCCTTTGCCTCCTCAGCTATAGTTTCATCTTCACATTCTGCAAATGACCCAGTGATTATACATACCAGTCCCCTGACTCCACTGCTAGGTAGTAACCACCATCGTTTTCTTTGTTGCTACATCTTCATCTACCTCTGACCCCTTCACCTTACAAATTTTATGGTAGAGTTCTAAATAGTATACTAACACTTCCTGCAAAGCTACTATTTGTGTGACTTACATAAATAAATTTCAATTGAAAATGAGTCTGGAGACATCTCTAAAAAGATAGCTTTTTCTGTCCTTTGATCAATGGGGAAATGGACTGTTTCCATTTCTGAACTTCAAGTACTGCTTAGGAAAGTGTGCCTCTTCAATCTTAACATCAAATAAGCTATGCCCCATATGCCAGATCAAGATCCACAGGCACATGCCCCGGTCTTGGATGCTTCACAGACTTCCTCATTTAAGACCTTTGAATTTACCGCCTGCTCTGGAGACACAGTTCTCATCAATTCCCATTTATTAGTAGGTGCGTAAAAGGAGGCACATTCTGACATGCAATAAAAAGCAAACCTAATGAGCAAATGGCAGTGAACTTGAGGGGCACTTTAAGAGAAGGTCTATCAGTATTCATAACTCTGACACACCATAAAAGACACTTTAGTGCAACAAAAATGTGTCAGAAAAGATATTGAGTTAACTGAAGGGGGAATTTTCTGGTAAAACACATAAGAGCACCCATTTCAACTGATCTGAACTATTAATATATTTTCTTCTTTACTGACAACTCATTTACCAAGTGTCAGATGAATGGTATTGGAGACAGCACTGATATTAACTCCCAAATGAAGTTCTATAACAATGAAAGGTACATAAGTATTCCACCCTAGCATCTTCTCTATAATTAATGCCCTTGGCCTTGCCTAGACAGCTAATGCCACTCAAAAATTAGAAGAATCATCTTTGGAAATAATTCTTATCATTATATAAATGGCACATTATAGTTTCTTTATTTTTCATCCAACTCATTTTTTACATGATACAGACAAAAGTTAGAGGACATCTTCAGATTCTTAAGGCAACTTAATCTCAATATTTCAAAGCAATACATAAACATCAAATTTGTTGTTTAAGCGTTCTTCCTCAAAGGAGTCTCTTAAATTCAACTAAACAAAAAACCCAAAGCCAATGAATGAAGTCAAGGCAAAACCTCTGCATCTAACACCATGGAGGGAGAAATGTATAATCACAGTATACTTATTAATACAGTGATAAGCATGGTCAATAAATGTAAGCTTTCCCTAAATCATATTGGTATGCTATTTATATAAAATAATGGGGGAGCTATCTTTTTATCTTCTTTTTTAATAATGGAATTCCAATTAACTTTTTTGTCCTTGATTTATACATCTATATTTTTATGTTACTCTTTAAAACCATATATACATGAAGGCTGCACATTATGAAAGTTAATGGTAATATTCAAAGAACAGAATATAGTTTTCGAAGGCAACATAAAGAACAAACCTAATAAGTACATACCGTGAGTTTTACTGCCACAGCATCAGACTCCATTCTTAATAGCTTTCCTGTAAGATTTCCACAGGTGGCAATATGGATTATGGAAGAGCAGCATATTTCTAAGACTATTATCTCTTTTCAACTCTGTCATTTTAATGAAAATACAGTTAATGAAGGTAATGTGATTAAACATTGGGCTTTGTCAAGTGAAATATAGAGGGAAGAAAAGCAAATGGGGGAAAGTAAATAATTCTACAGCCATTGGCCAGGGTCCAAGACCTCCTTAAACTCTCTTTACAGCAGAAACACAAGAGACGACAATTTTTCCTGCATTATATTTTTACATTCACTATCAATTTTCTGTGACAGTCATGAGGCCACTTTATCCAAAAAGTTGCAAAATATTGACATAAGAGTTTCACTGGATAATTTCAGGTCAAACTAAGTTAGTTTATTTGCTTTCTCACTAGCTTAGTAGTGGAGACATGTTTTAAGTGATCACAAATCTGTGACTTTTCATCTGTAAGCTATATTATTAAGTGCTCCAGTAAAAATATGCAAAACTCAAAGTATGTAAGAAAACATTGTCATTACTTCCAATATTCTTTGTGATATTACTTCGTTTATTCATTCATCCATTCATGCATTCATTCATCGTTCAGTAATAATTTGTTGAGCACCTAACATGGGTCTGTTCCTCTGCCAGGACCCTGGGACTCCAAAGATTAAGATTAAAAGATGTGCCTCCTGTCCTTGGGCATTTTATATTCTATAGGGGAAATTGAGCAGTAAAAGATGTTCTTAATACAATGTGGTAAGTACAATGTTAGTGCCTGGCCAGGGTGCTGAGCTGGCGTGTGCGGATATGCCTTAGTCAGTTTGAGTTACTGTAACAGAATACCATAGACAGGATGGCTTGAACAAGAGACATTTATTTCTCACAGTTCTGGAGGCTGAAGTCTGCGATGAGCATGTCAGCATGATTGAGTTCTTGGTTAGGGCCCTCCTCCTGGTTCACAGATGGCTGTCTGCTCTCTGAATCAACACACAGCAGAGAGAAAGAGCTCTGTTCCTCGCACTGCCTTATCAGGGATCTAATTCCATCACCGGGGCTCCACCATCATGACCTTATCTGATTCTAATTACCTCCCACAGGCTCCATTTCCAAATACCATCACACTGGGAATTAAGGTTTTAACATGAATTTTGGGGAGACAGAAACATTCAGTCTGTAGCAAGATATGTGGGAGTGGAGCAGTAGGGTAAGGGGAGTCAGCAGTGAAGGACTATGGAGGAGAGGTCTGAACACAGCTTACAAGGATAAGCAGGAAATATTGTCATATAATGGACATTCAGAAGAGGAATACCATCCAGCAAGAGACTGCAAATGAGTACTTATGTAGGTGGAATAAAAAGCAAAGCAGAGATTGAAGTCAGGGAAAGAACAAATGTTGAGAGTAGGGAATTTTATCCCTATTTCATAGGAAAAGATAGCAAGGACCCAGTGCACTTTCTTAACAGATAATTTGTAGAACTGGGGTTTGAGCTTGTGAGTGAAATGGTGAGTTTGGCTGTGGATCTCTCTCTCAGACAGCAGTGGGCAGCCATATGAGATATCAAATGTCTAGTTAAAATTATGTGTCTGAGAAATGTAGATTTAATTCCTTATTTGCTTATTCATTTATTTTCCAGGCACTCAAACTGTTCTAGAGGTTGCATCAGTAGACACAGAACACAGATCCAAATCCTTGTGCTCACGGAGTTTGTATTCCAGTGGTGATAGTGTAAGGCGGGGTAGAATATATTAAACAGGTGATCATTTAAAATATTAAAAGTATGAATGGTTGTCAGTGTTATTGAGAAACTGAAGCAGATGACAGGGATGGTGGCACTACAGTTTTGAATTGGTGGCCTGTAAAGGCCTTAATGAGACGACACTTGTATAAAGAAGATAAAGTGAGTCATGTGAATATCTAAGGAAAAGTGTGGTAGAAGGAATGAACAGCATGTGAAAAGGCCCTGAAGCTGGAAAATGCCTGGCACGTTTGAGAAAGGGAAGAAGAGCAGTGAGGTTAGAGCAGAATGAGGAAGAAATTAGCAGGACGTGAAGAGTGAGCCAGATCATCCAGGGCCTTGTTGGCTATTGTGAATGCTTTGGCTTTGATTCTGACTGAGATGGGAAACCATTATAGAGTTTTGAGCAGAGGTATAATATGATCTCTTATATTTTTGCTGGATCATGTTGTAGGCCATGTTGGAATAGACTGAATGAGGAAAGGACAGAAGTAGAAAAATCAGTGGGGAGGCCATCCTGATAATCCTGGAGAGAGATGATGGTGGTTGAACAAGGTAGTACAGGTAGAAGAAGGAAGAAGCGATTAGATTCAAGATGTATTTGAAGAAGAACCGACAAAATTTGCTAATGAATTAGATGTGGCATGCGACCACAATGAAAGAGGTGACAATGACTCCAAGGTTTTTGGCATGGAGCAAATGGAAAGCTAGAGTTTTTACTAACTGAGATGGAGTGAGGGGTTTAAGAAGATAAGAAACTTGGTTTTGACATCATGTGTTCTCATAAATGGGACCTAAGCTATGAGGGCCCCAAAGCATAGGAATGATATAATGGACTTTGGGGACTCAGGGAGAAGGGTGTGAGGGGGTGAGTGATAAAAGACTACACATTGGGTACAGGTTACACTGCTCGGGTGACAGGTGCACCAAAATCTCAGAAATCACCACTAAAGAACTTACCTATGTAACCAAAAACCACCTGTTTCCAAAAAACTGTTGAAATTTAAAAAAAAATTGTCAACAACAACAGAAAAGAAACTTGTTTTGAAAATGTGAGACTGAGATCAATATTGGACTCAAGTGGAGTCCAATATCTGTAATAGTTGGCATATGAGTCTAGAGTTCAGATAACAGTGTTTAGGTGATACTTAATCATTGTTATAGAACGAGATCCCCAAAAGTAGAGTTGATATGAAAGAGACAAAGTTCACTGAGTGAGCCCTCAGACGCTTAACAGTTAAGAAAGCTGGGAGGTGAAAAAGGACCTGGAAAGGAGGCTGAGAAGAAACAACTAAAGCAGTGGGAGGAAACCCAGGAGAGTATAACCTCCCAAAACAGAGGGAAGTATTCCAAGAAAGAGGAAGTGGTTCTTTGTCAAATGCTGATAGGTTAAGAAAGATGAAAAATTATTGACCTGTGGATTTATCAAGTGAGGTCCTTTGGGAGTCATTAGTAGATGAGTGATGCCAGAAGCCAGTTTGAAAATTAGCCTGAAAATTAGATAGTTTCAAATGATTGGTAGAAGCAGAAATCAGTTTATAGGGAATTGAGTGAAAAGGTGGCAAGAAATTAGCAGATGTAGACTATTCTTTCCAGAAGCTTGATTATAAGGCAAATAAAAATATTTGAGAAATCCTTGAGATTAGTAGGACACCAATGTGTCAAGAAGAAAATACATTTCTTTTTTCAAAGACAGGCAGGCTAGACTTGAGTATTCCTCTGGGCTAACAAGAGGAAGAAGCTAGGAGATAAGGGAAGGTTGAAGCATTAGAGGAAAGTGATGGACAAAGGTTCCTGAGTGATTTTAGAGCTCCTTCAGTTCTTTGCCAGTGAGTTGTCACGTTAGCAAATTCTTCAGGATTCTGATATGGACAGACAATTGTCATGGTGTCACGGTCCATGTGCTCGTCAATAAATGTGATGAAAGGGTATATGTATATGTATCTATACACATTTGAATAAATACATCATCCAGTATGTATGTGTGCATATATAATGTATTTATGTTTACAAAAAGCTATATATTATAGCATATGTATGTATAATATAAAAATATTATTTATTTTCTTTTTCGCAACTATTACTCTTGAGTGAAGAGTATAAGAACATTCACACTGATTGTTTTCGCTAGGAAAGGGATCTGTGAAACATATCCATAAAATAATATCTGGCTAAGCCTGAGACCCACTAAAACTCTATGGTTCTCAAATGAAAGCTAATCTGAATTGTTAATAATTCAGTTTATATATTTAGTGAAGTGTAATACCAACACAGGTAGCACTAGCTTCCTATTATGGACGTCTTCAGAGACAGCAAACATACCTCTAATAACATTGTAGTAAATTCAGATTTTATGATAAGAAATAGATTACAGTTTATCACATAAAATAAAGAATGGAATATACTGGGCTTTATTTAGCTAAAATAATTAAAATCTAGAATTAAGTGTGTCTCATCTTTTTTCATATGGACAGAAAGTCAATCACAAGCGACTGGTATGAAGCATGGTGGAGGTAATTTGAGTTTCATTTCTGAATATCTCATCTGCTTCAAACAGCATTTATTAGATCAAAAAAGAACAGCGCCCCCCCTCACCACCCGTCCTTCCCCCAAAAAACTTTAACATCTTAGATGAAAGCTTATTTTTCTTTTGGATCATACCTACCAATGCCCCAAAGTACTGCAATAAAATGAAAATAAAACAAACAGCATTGTCAGAAATAATCACATAGCAGGCCAGCCCTCCCACTTCCATTCAACTCCTTCACAAAGAAGCCACAGTGCTTCACTGAACAGCCCTTAAATCTTTATTGTATTTTGCCTCTGGGGCTTGCTCATCACTGCAGGTCTAAAGTGTCTGTTATGGTCAGAAATAACTTTAAAAAAATATTGCACCACTGAGCCAATGAGTGGTTCAAATGGCTCCAAAATTGTAAACTTGTAAAATGCAAGGTAGAGTAAGCACTTCAGCATTTGGAATAAACTGACTGCTTCACTATGTCATCCTTGGCACTCTTGTTTTATGAAGACCAGAAATACTGAGTTGAAGCAAGAGTATCTATAAAACCCCTGAAGGTACTTGAGAATTTTCTTTCCTTCCTAGCCACAAAGATGAATAGCCGACTGGACTCTAGCTGGAAACTGTTCTTAGAATCTGCGGTTGCTCCCATTACAGAATGCTTTCTACAAGCCTGGGTAGCAAATGGCCTGGTAAAAATATTTTCAACTGATATTCAGAAACCTGTGTTTTTAGATCTAACCACATGCATGAGGCTTTCTGATACAATTAAGACAATTCATTGAGTTCCTCCTGGCAATTATGAAAAGATTATTCATGATTTTAAATTTTCATATTACTGATGTTGTTGGGCCATTTGGTTATTGTCCTGTCATTAGATTAGTATCTAAGTGATATAAATTTTGCTTTAAGAATGAGGTTGCAGAGAATGGAAGTAGATGGTTTTGTCTGCAGGTGAAATTTTTATTAAAATAATTTACACACATTTCAAGAGCAATGTACCTCTTCAAGTTCATTGGTCGTAATATTTGGAAGTTGTGATCAATCCAAATAAGGAAAAATGAATACTGAGAGCTTAGCATAACAAAGCAAAGGTTACCTTTCTTAATTATTTAAATTAATTTTTATTACTTATGACATAGTTTTGACATATGCATTGATGATGGTGTTCATTAGCATTTAAAGTGACTCTGGCTGCTTATGTTTGAACCAAACTAAGAAGTATTCTATATAAAATACATGTATGTATAAATGTTTTCTATGTGCATATGTACACATATATGTACATACATACAGATAAAGCAAGTGGGAGCACAGGTCTTGGGGTAGCATTACTTTGAACATTTTGCCTTTAGCCCACAGGGTCAAAACTTATTAGGAAGTATGTATTTGTCACCAAGGAAAATTTCTGGTAAATCTAGAAGCACAACACACTTCTAAATATACATGATTAAAATTAAGCTGCCATATATTGGGCATTTATGCAGGAAGATATGCTTGTACAATGCTGGGAGATTGCACAGGAGTTGGCAGGCAACTGTGTTATTATCCAATGCAGAAATCATGAAATCTATGCCTCCAGGGTTTAATGGCCAGGCCATGACACTGTGTTTACAGGATCAGATCCTAAAGTACAGCTTATACTACATTGGGCCAGTTTAATCTAGCTCTATAACTCCTCATACTCTTCTCTTTCTTTTAGACCCAAGAATGTGGCCCTTATGCCCGTGGAAGCTTTTAATTGCCTCTTTTGGAAACTAGTTTTGATTCTTCATAATCACGTCTGTTTGAGGACACAGACGATCAATGTAAGGACATTCAGAACCTTCTAACTGTCAATACATTTTAATTGTTTTATGTTTTCTCCAACATCAAAATCATAAAGCTTCTTTAACAATGATTTATTCAGCGTATACTATATGTCAGGCATTGTGTTAGGAGGTTTAGAAAACATTATTTCATTTGATTGCTACGGTTTTGTGAAATGAACACAATTATCACCTCTTCCATAGATGAGAAAAGTAAATTTAAATTTAAATACAAAGTAATGTAAACATTTTGTTTGAAATCTCAAGTTTTATACAATCAGGATTCAAAGCCAGAGTTTCCTACTTCCAAAACATATTCTTTTTAAAAAACATTTTAAACAATACACAGTCATGGTATTAGATGGTTTCAGATGAAAAATTACAAAGAGTATAGAAATTTTGTACATCATTTTCCCAGCTTCTCCTAAAGTTATTATTTCACATAAACATAGAACAATTATTGAAACAAAAGTAACCTTCATGCAAAACTGTTTATTAATCTACAGGCCTTATTTAAATGTTGCCCATTTTCACACTAATATCCCTTTTCTAGATCATTAATTCAGGTTTTTACATTGCATTTAGTGTCACATTTCCTTAATCTCCCCTCGTATGTGACACTTCCTCAACCTTCTTGTCTTTCAATACCTTGATTTTTTTTAAGGAGTACTGATGATTTGTTTTGTAACTTGTCCTTAAAACTTCACCCATTTTCTAAACTATGACGTTCAGTTTGGGTTTGTCTGATATCGTCTCATGATTCGACTAAAGTTATACACGTTTGGCAAGACTATTTCATCAGTGATGTGTCCTTCTTAATGCATCTATCATTATATTGGGTATATTAATTGATATGTATTGCAAAGCAGAAATTTATTTTCCTATATTATCTTTGTCTTTTAATTGTGTGATATGAACAAACTATAATACAGCATTAAGATCTGAGAAAGATTAAACAGTTCGAAATATGTCATATTATATCATTTAGTAGAAATCACATTGGCTACTGACTAGCCATGATTAATTAGAATATGCCTAAATCCTTAACTGAATTAGCACTCGTGTGTGTGTGTGTGTGTGTGTGTGTGCGCGTGTGTGTGCGTGTGTATGCAGAAAAATGCTAGTAAATGTTTAATAATCAGCTCTCGGGGAAAGAAAAAGCCCTTATTTGGAGTGCTTGCCAATTTTGTGGTGTAAATACTCCCACCACGGCCCATTTCAATCTACCAACATTGTCAATGAACTCAGAGCTAGGAGGAAAGGAACACAAAATGAAGTCTCAGGAGCTGGTACAAGCCAGCCCCTAGCACGCCACTGAAATAATATATATTTATACACAGCATTTTCTGGACTCGAGGATGCAATTTATAGAACCAAGAGAAACAAACATAAAGACAAGACAAACATTTTATAATACCCAAGAGTAGAATTACCTTAAAAGACAAATACAGAAATTCCTAGAGTGTCATAATTAAGAACGAAAGTGAAACTTAAAACGAAAAAATTTTCATTGCCTTAAGTCTTTAGAGAGTGAAGTTATTTGATTCCAAGTCTTAAAAACATGTAATTTTAAGCTTCCTAATTGCTAGGTGTTATTGAAAATAACTTTAAAGGCTGGGCGCGGTGGCTCACGCCTGTAATCCCAGCACTTTGGAAGGCCGAGGCGGGTAGATCTCGAGGTCAGGAGATCGAGACCATCCTGGCTAACACAGTGAAACACCGTCTCTACTAAAAATCCAAAAAAATTAGCCGGGCGTGGTGGTGGGCCTCTGTAGTCCCAGCTACTCGGGAGGCTGAGGCAGGAGAATGGCGTGAACCCGGGAGGCGGAGCTTGCAGTGAGCCGAGATCGCGCCACTGCACTCCAGCTTGGGCGACAGAGCGAGACTCCATCTAAAAAAAAAAGAAAATAACTTTAAAAACATGGTATGAGACAGTGCTGGAACAAGAGGCCAAAATCATCCTGTGCCTTATCTCAATTAATATGGATAGCACGACATTTCCTTAACTCTTTATTCACTGGAACACCATTAGAGTGGAAACCAGTTTAACAATACTGGTTTACTTCCTTACTGCTCATGTTACTAATGAGGTCACAGCTGATCATTGTAGTAACTGTTAGCAAGAGACTCATAAATGCCAATTTTAATGGAAAACTTTGTTTCGAACATATTCCGCAGTGCACATTCAGCCTAAAACACTTTTTCACAATTTAAATTTCCGTATGCTGCTCCGTAAGGGAAAACACACACTCCCACATTGGAGAGCTGCTTTCAGCTGAAATATACTGTATATTTGATTTACTAATCAAATATACAGTATATTTTAAAAACAACTTCCAGGTAGTATTATCATGTCATACCCTTCCTACACAGATCACAATATTCGTATAAAGAAATCAATTCTACATAAGACTATTGTTTTAAAAAATGTCATTATCTCAATGTTTATTTAAAAGTTACAATATTTTATGCATACAGTAGTGGGCAGAATGACCTCCCAAGGATGTTCACGTTCTAACCCCCAAGATCTACATGGCAAAAGGGACTTTGTGGATTTAATTAGTTAAGGATCTTGAGGAAGGAGGATTATCCTGGATTATGCATGGACCCATTATAATCACAAGTGTCCTTATAAATTATAGTCGGGGGGTTTAGAGTCAGATAAAAGGATGCGATAGTGGAAGAAAAGGCTGGAGTGATTGGCCATGAACCAAAGAATGTAGGTGGCCTCTAGAAGCTAGCCTAGGTGGGGGCAGGGATTCTTCCTCAGAGCCTCCAAAGAAACACAGCTATTCCAACACCTTGATTTTAGCTCCTCCATAAGACCCATTGCAGACTTTGACCTCCTAAGTTGCAAGGTAATATATTTATGCTGTTTCAAGCCAAGTCTGTGGTAATTAGGTACAGCCTCAATCAGAAACCAGTACTCCATAAAAACTACTTTTTAGGGGGTTAACTTTATTCCTCTTATGATTCATTTTAGCTTCGATCTTCCTCATCTTTCTCACCTTCCTCACTGAACACCTAAGATCATTCAGAATCAAAGATAAGCACAATATATTTATGGCCTTGGTGTTTAAAGTGGAGCTGAAGATTACTGCAGGTATCTAAAATAAACATTTCATCTTCAAGTATATTAAAGTGTATTTTCAAAATATTTGCAACCATTACTTTAATGAGAGAGAAGCCCTTAGAAAAACTGAAGTCCTTTCATACGATGAAAAACTCTTTACGTCAAAAAGTGCAAGCATTTAAAATGTTTCTGGGTCAGGCATGGAAGCTCACACTTGTAATTCCAGCACTTTGGGAGGTTGAGACAGGAGGACTGCTTGAGGCCACGAGTTTCATACCAGCCTGGGCAACACAGTGAAACCCCATCTCTAAAAAACAAAACAAAACAAACAAAAAAAATTAAAAAGCAAAACAAAAAAATGGTTTTAAAAACATTAAAAAGCAAAACTAAAAAAATTTAACCAGGTGTGGTGATGTATGCTTGTGGTCCCAGCTACTTAGGAGGCTGAGGTGGGAGGATCACTTGAGGCTGGGTGGTTGAGGCTGTAGTGAGCTGAGATTATACCACTGTACTCCAGCCTGGGCAACAGAGGGAGATCTTGTCTCAAGCTTTAAAAACTAACGTTTCTGCTCTGAAAAAATTATCTTACTACTTTGTGGTTTATTCACATGGATGCAGCCAGAGGTCATGCCATGTAGAAAAGAAGGTGCTTTGATGTACTGTTCCATTGCAAATCTCTTGGCTCACACTATCTCTGTGAAACAGTAAAAATTAATGGAAAAATTACAACTCTAAAGTACTATAAGATTTTGAAGTGCCCTTTGGATTAAAGTTTAAATTCTCTCGTGATGTTGAATGTAGTTTTTCCAGTTTTAAATTCTTAGAAATTGGAAACCAGAAAGTAAAATTAATCAGAATATTCCTTTCTCTCTTCACGCCAGATCAAATAGAGTATGATAGAATATATTAAATTTTGTTTCTGTTTAAAGGATTAAAGCTTAATTTTCACTGTAGGTATTACATGTCTGGTCTAATATTTAGGTGAGCATGGTAGAGAGAACCATGAGCTAGGAATTGGATCTGGGTTCAAGGCCCCAATCAGTAGATGACCTTGAAAATCATTTAATATTCCCCAGTTTCATTCCATTTCTAACATTACTTGCCCTAGCTACCTTGAAGAAAATAAGTGAAATATAATAATTTTAAAAATACGTTGTAGACTATAAATTGCTATTTGAAAGATACAACTAAGGAAGGATTCTGAAATATCCCATAGAACACAGAATTATAATACATGAAAATAAAATGTCCCCAAAAAGGATTCTTTTATTCTCAGCTGGAATTATACAAGCACATGCGTGTGTGTGTATCCCAGGCTGCTCATCACTGGCTAACAAATCTCACAAGACATACAGATTTCCACAATGACTATAGGTATTGAATTTTAGATAAATTACTTAAGCCTGTTATTAATATTTCAAGGTTAAGGAGTAATAAAGATTTGTTTATTTCATCGTTGACATCTAGAAATAAAAAAATAAGCAAAATTATTGTAAGCCTCTGAAGAGTTTGTTGTGCCTAGAGTTAAGGTTCAGGTTGATCTTTTTAATATTGCAACAACCTCACACACCATTAATCACTTAGAAGTGGCCCCAGGCCATGGTAAATGGATGGCCTAATAAATCAGACACAATGTTTGCTATTTCCAAATTATTGTCAATAAGCAGAGTGAGAAGGTGACAATTCAATAACTAATGCTTATAAACTGGACTTTTTGTTTTTTTAATTTTAATCAAGAACATGAGGAGGAAGGTGAACCAGCCTAAGACATATAATTATAGACATGTGTACAAAGACAACAACAATTATGGTAAAAGATGTATTCGTTGAAAACATCCCACAATTATTATGCATGAATTTCCCTATGGTTAGAGATATTGCTTCTGGTTATCTTAACTGTGTGTATATAACAAAAAGTGGGATCCAAAGTCTTTTTCGTGCTTATGGGTGAGAAAATAGTGAGGGGGGGCATATGGAGATCTGAAGATGAGGATTGAGCAAAATGGACTGCCATGGGGCAATGCACATGTGAAAATAGAAATGTTAATGAAATATAGGGAAATATAGTGAATGAAATATATGGAAAAATGTATGGAAAATAGTGGCGTTGGGGCAGGGAAGGCAAGAGGTTGAGATTAAAGGAGAAGGGGCTATAGTTAATGCAACCTAGTTGGGTAGTGAAAGAGAATATAAAACCAAGGCCCTTACAAAATAACCAGATGCAGAAAATATAGGAGTACTGTGGTTTGGCACCAGTCAATATACCAAGATGCAGAATGAACTGGAGAAAATTATAATGCAGTTTATCAGCAGGAAGGACGGTCTACATTCTTAGAAGCCTGGTCTCCTAGTGCTGTAGGTACTATAGGAAAAGCTGGGCAAAGATGGGAGAACAAAATAAAATGAAAAGCGAACATTAGCATTGTCCCCTAAAACTTTCTGATACTCAAAAAAAAAAAAACAAAACAAAAAATGAGGGCTTCTTATAAAATAGAGTGTTGACGAGTCTTGGGTAGGCTTGGGTAAGAATGGGCTGAGGAAGACAGAGAGAAAAGGGAACCACATGACAAGATAGAGATCATGGCAACTTTTTGATATTCTTAAACTTCTATCAGGACAGTAAGGTAAGATGGAATTTGTGACCTTACTGAGAACAAAATATATGAATTCAAACTTCAATTTTGATCTTGGAGTGATTGGTATGGCTAGTTGAAAAAAGCTTTGGTTTTGGAGTGAAAAAAAAAACCACCCCAAAAAACCATGTTTAAATCCCAGCCCAATCACATATGAGCTAAGTAAGGTCCTTTACAACATGAGTTGTTAAAAGGCTAACATTTTTATTGGTTTCTTTATCTGTAAAAATGAGGATATTAATAGTTCCTACCTCGGTGTTGTTGTGAGATGTAAAAGAGAAAAATCCATGTAAAAATCCTATTACTTACATTGGTGGTAATGCTAGCTACACCACTATTAATATTAACTACAAAGATTTAAGAAAATCCTTGAATCTCTGCACACCTTACTTACCTAATCTATGAAATGCAAGTAATGATCATACATTTATGGTCTGGAGTGTAGGCTTGAATGAGATCATGTATGCAAGATACCTGGCACACAATAGGCTTACAGTAAGTAGTAGCTGTTGTTACTTAAAAATGCACTGGTTTCAAAATAATCCAAGTTCCAATTTGTCCAGATGACAAAAACATATTTGGAGTGCTTGATATATATGTATGTGTATTTTAGTTTATCTACTCAGTACATTTTCATCAAGGGTAAGGGATCCCACGTGGATTTATAGTAATACTTTTCTTAGGAAAAGCACTATCAAAATTCTGTTTATCAAAATCTATCAAATTAGCTTGAAACCTGCCTCCAATTTTCCAAATTTCATGCACTGCCTCTTTACCATTATCATGTCTTCTGCTAGTAACAAGACATAAGTAGTTGCCTCTGGGAAATACAGAGGTTTTTTTCCTTCCTTTTTTTCTTTTTGATACGGTAAATTTGTTCTCTGAAAGAGAAGATGGTGAGACAACCAAATTACAGCAAGTTTTTTCAAAAAAACATTGCGTGATTTCCATGAGTTTTTATTTCGTTTATATCACCACCATTCTTTTATATGCTAGACAGCTTCTAGCACCATGCTGGGTGCATAGAAACTATGAAGTAAGTAGTTACTCATTTGGGTCCTTAGAAACAGAAGACTAAGTTTTCCTCACAATATTTCCTATTTAACTATAATCAAAGACCCATATCAACCATGTTTCTATAAACAGAGATTTATAGTAGATGCTTAACTGGAAGCAATATTATTATAATTGATTTCCAGACTAAACACACACACACACACACACACACACACACTTAAAACTTAAAATGGTTATAATTAGAGCACAATACAACCCAGTCTTCTTTATTGGGGATCCACATTGCTGTCATTATAAGTGTCGCTTTTCAGCACCATGTCCCTTACCAAACAGAGCTCATTTTGAAATGCCAGTTTTTGTGAAAAATTCTATCCATTTTCGACATGGTATTTGGACAAGAGAAGTTTTTCTCTTTGGGTTCATTTTCGGGTTGTTAGCCTAATCTAAAATAGAGCTTCTTTAAAAGTCTGCCCGAATGTTTAGTTAAAACAGAGAAGGAACAGCTGAGTGTTGAGTGGTAGTGTTACATTGAGTGAAGACACGACTGTAAATAACTCTGCAATTTGGAAATGAATGATGCTTTTGACAGAGACAATTATGTCTCTATTGACAACATTGATGTCAAACGCCAAGTGAAAATATGAGATTGACTATCAGCAGTTTCCACCAGTTAAAGTAGCTTCACTGAGATAAAGGAACAAGAACAAATGCATTCCTCTCACTCCTCTACTCACACTCTTTTCATTCTCTCAGAGCTGGCTTAGTCCAGTTCCACTTTGGGGGAAAGGATCAAGTGTTCACACTTCATCAAAAGAAGATCAAATACTCTTAGCTGTTTCTTTTTAAGTTAATCATTTCCAGGCTATCATTAGTCACTTTTCCCACCTCAAAGAAGGGAAGCTGAAATACTCAAGAAAAGAAGTCGAGCCCTGAACTTCTATCAAAGTAATTACAATTTCCGAGTTAGACATGACGTATCTGAAATAAGGTCTTTGCCGTGAAAACCTCACACAGAGATCTTACCAGCCTTCAAAGTTGTTTTTCTTATAATTGCTAAATACTGGCTTATATTTCTGGGGTGGAGAATATTCTGCGTGGCAAGTTTTCCAGTTTGAAAAAACGTCCTACATTGGAGAGCCTTGATGGAGAAATAATTTCTTCCATATATATCTCTCCATTTTAGTCAATTGTTGTATTACCGAGGCTCTTTGACTAGTATTTTTATTGTAAAGAAATTATGTTCCCTTTAATATGTACTAAAAGCACTTTCATTCTTTAATATTCATATTTAAATATGTAATGTAAACATTTATTAAAAGCAGGGTACAGCATAAAAATTAGCAGACCATATTCACATTCTGGAGTCAGACAAATAATATGCTGTGTGTAAGATCTGGATTTGTGGAGGAATTCCTGAGGGCATAGAATGTCGGTAGAGAAAACATTTGGCCTCCAAGTCTCAGGAGTTGCAATGGGACATCTGTCGGCGTAGAGCAGTGTTACATACACCATTGTGCTCATCTCGCCTTTCTTGCTGCTGTATGGCAGTGATGGGTCCTCCATGGGGGGCATTCTTCTTATTGTAATATGACTTTCCTATTTGGGGTAGAGAGATGGATAGGTGACGTGTTTTGTTTTGAAAAACAAATGGTGTGAGCTTTCTATAAAGGAATATGTGATTTTAACATGCAAAGAAAGCATCCGGTATATGATGCTAGAATTAAACTCTTTAAAGTAACTACCCCTCTGTGAAATATGTGTTTTTGAAGACTTAAAATTTAGTAAGGGACTGTGAGTTCACTGTTAGAATAACTTACATAAAGACATGTCATAAAGTGAAAAATAAAATTCATTAAAAGGAAGAAACCCAATAAAGAACAATTTTTGTTAAAGAAAATAAGGTATTTTGTTAACTATATGACAATATAGTTGTTATTTTATTTCATTGAAAAAGCTACTTTATTTTGGCCGGGCATGGTGGCTCACACCTGTAATCCCTGAACTTTGGGAGGCCAAGGAGGGTGGATCACCTGAGGTCAGGAGTTCAAGACCAGCCTGGCCAACATGATGAAACCCCATCTCTACTAAAAATACAAAAAATTAGCTGGACATGGTGGCAGGCACCTGTAATTCCAGCTACTCGAGAGCCTGAGGCAGAAGAATCACTTGAACCCAGGAGGTGGAGGTTGCAGTGAGCCAAGATGGTGTTACTGCACTCCAGCCTGGGCAGCAAGAGCAAAACTCTTGAAGTATAATTGAATAATTTACCTTTGCGAATGGATGCTATAGATATAAATGTGTATTTTTTAATCACAACATTTTAATCTCTTTCAGTTATGAGACTGATGGGGTATAGGAGACAGTTCTTAGTATAAGAGATTATTTAAAGGCTAACTTCTTATAGACCTTGTGTGTTTATTTTTATTTCTAAAGTTGTACCTGTTTGCTACATTTTGTATGAGTTACTAGTAAAGTAACAAATATTTTTGCCATAGACCTGTCTGATTATGCAAAAGCAGGAGATCTTTTCTTACTGTTGACTTTATAACTTTACCTCAGCTCCCTGGGCCTCAGCCTCCTTCTCTGTAAGATTATAGAACTGAACTAGCATACAGCCAGGGTCCTTCTGGCTCTAAAATTTTATCCATCTATCATCCTTAATCAGAGAATAATTTGATATATATTTCTATATGCTTTTTTGTTCTAAGCTATTGTTTTCATTAAGTATTGTATCTATTTAATTTACTGTTTTAAAACCGCTAGTAAAGCCTCCTTTTTTACCAAAGCGTTTAAAAATATTGTCTCTGGGATTTGTTTCTTTTTCCATTAAATTTAGATAACTTTGTTCATTTTCATAAAGTTCTAGAAAATTTCATGTATGTCTTCTGTGTTCACGTTTTCTATGAACATCTTCATTGCACTTCAGTAGGTCAGAGTAATAAGAGGTTTTCTGTTTATCCAGATTTATAAAATGAGCGTATTAAAAGGCCTTGACTTGTATTTCTCTATCGTCTCTTCTCTACTGTTTCAAGAATACTAGAGAACACACATAATGTGACTCAGCACTGTTTTAGCAGTAATATATATTACTAAATGGAGGATACGTTTTTTGTCCTCATGGAGCCTACTATATAGAGGGGAAAATGCGTATTAACAAATGAACGCACAAATATATTTATCAGTGCATTAAGAATGAAAAGACGATACTAAACAATGTCCCAATGGAAATGATGTATGTAACAGAACTGAGAAACGCCTATTTTAGAAGGTGGCCTTAAGCAAATTTTTGAAGAAAGAATAGGAGTTGGCCAGGAGGAGGGCTCACAGAGGGTGTATTGTACTCGGGGGGGCAGAAAGTACAAAGACCTTGAACCTGTAAATTGTTGGTACTTTCAAAGTGGCTAGAGTGTAATAACGTGAGACGAGTTGGGAGTGGTTCTTATAGAAATCTTGTATTTTATTTTAAGGGTAGCATGACCATGTAATTTATTGTCAAAAACAGGACACTTTGGAGAACTAAAGTGGACGTTGGTGATAATTAAGCTGCAGCAATAGGTGTAAACCAGGACTTGCCCGAAGAAAACCAGTACAAATTGTTACCTACTTAAATCATATCTGAAGATAATTAAATCCTTGAATAAGGAGAGTCATAAAATTCGATTAATGGTTTTGAAATATTACACCAAGTACTGTGTGCAGAGTGGTTTATAAGAGAACAACAATGGAAACAGACGCTTGCCCGGGTCTAGATGAGGAATAAGATGAAAAACAAAAAAAAGAGGCAGATTTGAAATTCAGTTTAGATGTAGAATTGCTAGAACTTGGTGATGGATTGGATGGAGGTAGGAAGAAGAAATGATTTTCAAAATGATTCCCAGGTTTCTATTTGTAGAACTGCCTGAATGGACATGCCATTTATTAATATTTGGAAAATTAAAGAAACAGGTTTGGGGCAGGATTGGTGAAAGGCCAAGAGATTAGTTTGGGGATCCTAAATATGAGATGCCTGACAAGCTTCCAAATGGAGATGTCATGAAGAAAGCTAAGTTTCATCTTGAATAGCAATCTCTGTGGTTGATAAAAGTTTAAAGGTTGTAAACATTTATATGCCATTTAAATCAAGAAAATGTCTGAAATTACTGAGAAGGAATATTAAAGTGATTTTTTAAAAGTTGGCCCAGGTCTGAGTCTTAAGGAGCACAAAAATTAACTGATGGGTTAAAAAGGAAGAAACGGCAAAGTCTTTTGGGCCATTATAGGGAAGAATTCTATATACTTCTCAGAAGGCCACAAAGGAACTAATCTCTTTATTCCTCTTGACTAACATGTTGACCTTCATAACACACTTTTATTCCTTCATCCTCCTTGCCTATCTCACTCTCTGAAGTCCCTAACACCTGTCCCCTTGAGTCACCTCTTACATCAACTACTTGCACACAAATCTTCATCTCAGGCTCTACTTTGGGCCTGAGAGAGAAGAAACAAGGGAATAGAAATACGACCAGGAGAGTGTGTTATTGCAGAAGTAAAGAGGTTATGTCCAGAAGGAAGGAGTGGGAAAAAAACTTTTGAATGCTGCTGAGAGGTTAAGACAAGAACTGGTTTGGTGATGTAGAAATCATTGGCAATACCCATTAGAATAGTGAGTGTGTTTGCTGAGAATGATGGTTTCCTGCTTCATCCATGTCCCTGCAAAGGACATGAACTCATCCTTTGTTATGGCTGCATAATATTCCATGGTGTATGTGTGCCACATTTTCTTTATGCAGTCTATCATTGATGGTCATTTGGGTTGGTTCCAAGACTTTGCTATTGTGAACAGTGCCGCAATAAACATAAGTATGCATGTGTCTTTATAGTAGAATGATTTTTAATCCTTTGGGTATATACCCAGTAATGAGATTGCTGGGTCAAATGGTATTTCTGGTTCTAGATCCTTGAGGAATCTCTACACTGTCTTCCACAACAGTCGAACTAATTTACACTCCCACCAACAGTGTAATGGAAAACCAAACACTGCACGTTCTCACTCATAAGTGGGAGTTGAATAATGAGAACGCATGGACACAGGAAGGGGAACATCACACACTGGGGCCTGTCATGGGGGTGGGGGGCTAGCGGAGGGATAGCATTTGGAGAAATACCTAATGTAGATGATGGGTTGATGGGTGCAGCAAACCACCATGACACAAGGATCACAAGGTCAGGAGATTGAGACCATCCTGGCTAACAAGGTGAAATCCCGTCTGTACTAAAAATACAAAAAATTAGCCAGGCATGGTGGCAGGTGCCTGTAGTCCTAGGTACTTGGGAGGGGAGGCAGGAGAATGGGGTGAACCCAGGAGGCGGAGCTTGCAGTGAGCCGAGATCGCGCCGCTTCACTCCAGCCTGGGTGACAGAGCAAGACTCCATCTCAAAAAAAAAAAAAAAAAGTGTGATATATTAGAGCATATATGAATGCTGATGGTAATGATCCACTAAAGAGAAGATCAGGTTATCAGCTGGGAAAAAAAGGAGGTGGATGGTTGGAGGTACAGGAAGAAAGCAGTAGACAGTCACTGTGATGGTGAGTGAGAGATCACTTTGGTCTCTAGGTGTTAAATAATTGTTTGAGGCTGGTGACCATTAATTACCTATGATCTCAATCTGCTCTGTTAGGAAATTTTCGTCCAGCAGATCTCAGTTTCACCAACGCTGGCCCAGAGACAACGCTTTTGTTGGATGCATCATTGGAATTTGCAAGGTGAATGTAATGGAAGAAGAAAGGGCCCAGGGAATTGAGGGCATATACAAAAGATTCATTATAAATAGGGGCTGTGGAACATGATCTATTGAAAGGAGAAGTGAATTCCTGAGGGGCTTGGTAGATAGAAATGAAGTGATAAGGATAACAGATTGCACTCCTCTGTGAGGTCAAAGGATTGTTACAGTGAGAGTGCTCCAGAAGGATGCAAAGGTGATAAGAAAGTAGGATCTTTGAAAGAATGAATTTGCTTGTGGTGTAGTTTTTGGTGGTGAACTCTGCTGGTATTTCAGTTCTCTAAATTTCTACAAATTCAATTCTATGGTGTGATAGGGCTATGAAGGGATAACATGCATTTTGTGCCTCTACCTTTTTCCTGTTTGTCAATGGTATCCCTTTTAAATGGGCTTGAGTTGCCACATTACTTGATTTTGGAAGGCATTGAGAATCCAATGTAGTGTTCTACGATTCTGGCAGCCCTACCTGCCCCCTTCTGCATTACCATGGGGCTTCAAGGACATACTAAGTTGAAGAAATCCTGATCCTGAAAAAAAAGTCTTTACTGCCTCACAGGAATTTACGATGTCAATTTTAGTGATACATAAACAGGCATCTTACATTCTCTATATACCAAAAGTATTGACGGGTATGTAACTATCTCCTGTGGGCTTTTTTTTTCCCTTCTGAGCCTTTGTATACACCTGTGACTGATGTAACATTCTTATATTATCTCATATTCTTCCTTCAAAGAGTGTTCAAACATCATCTTCTATGTGATATCTAACTTGACCATTTCTGACCTTCTTTTCAGTCCTGTCAGTTCATCCATCCTCTGGGCCCAAATGAAATTGTATACTTTATTTTTTGTTTTACTCTATTATAATTATTTGCATGACTGTCTCTTTACTTGACTGTGTTTTTTTGAAGCCAGAGAACATGTTTGTTCATCTTTGTATTCTTAATGCCAGCCCAATTGCTGGCATATTTTAAGTGTTAAGCAAATATTTGTTTAAAAAATTAAGATAGGAATGAATGAATTCTATTTACCTTTTAATAAATCATGCACCAATCAGTAGCAACCATCATGCTATTAAATGGCATAAGCAATTATAAGTTTGTTTACTGAATCTTACGTTATTGGCTATCAGAAAAAAAGTGCCACCAAACACATTTTTATAATGAAGTAGATCTATAATCTGGCTTTTGTAACTCCTGAACTGTTGTGGATTGCATGTGGCTTAGGAGTTGGAGAGAAAGGGGAGGCAATGTAGTACTTCCCAATTTATGAGGGGACCTAGGAGCAGAGATTAAAATGCAGAATGGCAATCAGATTAAAAGGGTTGATGAGATCCTGAAAACATCCTTCAGGCCACAGGGGAGCCCAGGGGAGAAATCTTGGGAGAACTGCAGGCCATTGAGGGGAGGGGAAAACTAGGCCTCCCACCACTAAATAATAAGAGATGAAATGAAACCACTTATCTGATTTTAGAATTTTATCTGGACATGGAAACCTTCCAATTATTTATTTATACATAATGATATCAAGCTCTATCTACTGCCACTCCAAAGAGAACTCTTAAATAATCAAATAAAATGTTAAGATTTTCTATCCAAAGTATTCAAAGGAAGGAAGAAAAAAAAAAAACACACAGGGTTTTGAAGTACTCTTTTTCTGATAACAATTTAAATGGAACAACAAGAGTTATTAGTGATTTTATTTTATTTGATATAGAAAAGGCTCACTTTTTACTTCACATATTTATATACATTAAATCAATATATTTTTGGTTTTATTCAAGCTTAAGTAGAAACACTTCTTTTCACCCTTTATGTTGTATAAAATAAGATATTTGCTAAATGACAAAATTCCTCAAAGAGTCAATTTTCACTCAAAGGCAGGGTTTAAATGTTTATATGTTCTTATTCATAATTTACAATAAAAACTCATTTTAAATCATTTTAACCACTTAGGTTTAGCATACATTGTAGATACTTGCATAAGATGTTTTCAATAATGCCACTATTATAGTAATACCAACTTTATTTTGACTTTAAAAATGTATTTCCTTGGTAACATAGTAGCTTAAACTATTAAATCTGTTAACAGACTCAGGAGAATGATGGGGTAAGTGATGGATATTTTCCCACATATGGAAACTGAGGGAGCCAGTTTGAATAATCAGAGGCCCTTGACAAAACTTGCAAAGTAAGTAACTAAATTTGGTTTTATAAGACACAAAGGCAAATTAATGATACAAATTAATGAGAACATATACAAAATTGATGATACAGATTTGGGTTCCCTAGTGCCCAAATAAGTCAATTTTTATTTATGTGTTTTTGTTTTTGAGAAGATACTAGGTTTGGATATAAAGGAATGGGGCATCTGTGTGGTTTCAGAATATTAAAACAAAGGTTAGGTTTAAATAGGGAACAAGAGAGGAAATAAAAGAGAAAGACAAAAGGACATGAGAAATGTATGTTGGGGGAAGAAAAAAGAAGGAAGAGTACAAGGGAAAAATCTGTACAGAGTTGGAATTTCTAGGGTTCTAACCATCACATCCACAACCAGCATGGCCCCTGTTCACATGGCCCCATTTTAGATGGAAGGCAAATAGAACATCTCCTACTGACCATAAAATGAGCACATTCAGAATCTGTTTATCTTGCATGTCACCGAAGAACGACAGTATCTATCTATATAGACAGAACCCAGGAGTTACATGAGATGGGAGCTGACGTGAACATTAGCCAAGTATTCCAGGCTGAGAGGCAGAAAGTAAACCTCAGATTTTGGTCTATGCATTGGAGGAGAAAGGAAAATAAAAGCAAAACCAAATACCTTGAATAGTCTCTCCTGATGCCTACATTTCCAAAAAGAATAGTTTGTTCTATTCTAGAGAATTAAATAGTCAACTTCCTAATTTCAAGTTGTCACTCCCTGAGCACTGATTTTTCTCCATATATGTGGAAATTCCTGTCCTTCTGTGACTGCCATGCCATTAGATTACACTGTTTTCTTTGCTTCATCGTTGCTGCTTCAGTCACCAAGGCACTGACCTTCACTCACTGAAGAATTAAGACATCTCCTAGATTTTTTATATTAATTATATTAATCATCCTGAATGTTTTCCACATTCTTGTGGATAACACATCTAACACCCTCCTTAACTTCTTCTACTCCAATGCTCTTCAGCTTCCCTCCTCTTCATTCACTCAGTTTATGGTTAGAAGTGGTGTTCAACCAGTATATACTGCCTGTGCAAATAGTAAAGTATGTTTGTGCTGGTTACTAAACACTTACACCTGGGTGCTCCCTCCCCCTGCATGAACCTTTGCTCCCTGGGAACCCCTCCAGCATTCTCCATACTCCAGCAACGATAGGGTTGACTCCCGGTCCTGTGTAGAGGAGCACCAAGGCATGGCTTCAGTCCTGGGGCAGCAGTGTTTGAGCCATCTACACTACCCATTAAATGTTTTAATGTCAGCCCTGTCCACTGACACACAATATTTTATTGACGTGTGAGACCACTTCATGTTGGAAATTATATGCCCCTAATTTATACTCTAATCCCTCAATTCTGTCTACTGTTTTTCTTATTTTTTAAATCTTCTTGTTCTTCTGCCTTATTGAGCTCCATACTCCCTGGATCCCTGAATTTTCTGTCTATCAGCTTTTCTCTACCTTCACTTTCTTCTCTTCTAAATCTTGGTTTATTATTTTAACTTCATTCTCTCTAACATCATCCTGTCTTTTATTGCCTTGTCCTTCTACCACGTCTGCTCTAGAAAATGTAACTAAATTAAACCCATTATCCATCTCTGATCTTACAACCACTCAAGCTTTAGAGAAAGCTAGGGAAAGTCAAGTAAGCATACAGACTATTATGTGTCTCATTGCTGCCTGGTGACTTTTACAAGTTGTTGGCCAACTCCCTTGTCCCTTATTACTTATTCCAAATTCTTAATTCTCTCCTCCAGTACCTGCCTCGCCTCCCAGTACATCCCCTTCACCTTCACCAGAGATTTTACTCCAATTTTGGAGAGGAACTTGATATTCTCTGGCAGGAATACACTCAGCTTTATGTTCTACCATGGCAGGCTAATGAAATTGGACCAATCTTTGATGTTTTTCCCTTCAGAGCCAAAGAAGTAGTTCCCTTCACTGACAGGTCAGGACCAATCCATGGTATTCTTTTCTTTCTTCTCTTTTGAGATGGAGTCTCGCTCTGTTGCCCAGGCTGGAGTGCAGTGGCACAATCTTGGCTCCCTGCAACCTCCACTTCCCAGGTTCAAGCAATTCTCCTGTCTCAGCCTTCTGGGTAGCTGGGATTACAGATGTACGCCTGGCTACTTTTTTCTATTTTTAGTAGAGATGGGGTTTTGCCACATTGGTGAGGCTGGTCTCAGACTCCTGACCTCAAGTGATCCACCTACCTCAGCCTCCCAAAGTGTGGGGATTACAGGCTTGAGCCACCGGCCTGGCCCGTGGTATTATTTTCTAATACATTTTTTCCTTCTCCTCTCAGATTGTCCTGCATCAATGATTTTGTCTTTTTGTCTTTCTCTTCTCCACTGGATCATTTCTTCAAGTTTGAATACGTGCTTATGGCCCTTTCTTATTAAAAGAGAAAACCCAATATTTTTCCACCTGCTGACTCTTCTTGCTTGTCATATAGTTTCTGCCATTACAGAGTTATTTTAGTTATCCCCCAAGTTCCCATTTACTTTTACCTCCTGAGAAGAGTCTTCTTCCAAAATCGTTGAAGCCATGCTGGTTAACGTCACCACAGTCTTTCCATTTTTCAAACACAATAGACATTTTTTGGCTTTTATTTTACCTCACCTTTCTAAAGCATATGACACTGTTAACAACTTTCCCATTCTTAAGCTATTCTACACACTTGACCTACAGTACTTCGGCTTTTCTTTCTTTCTGACCGCTCCTCAGCTTCACTGAGTTCATCTATCAGTGGAAGCATTTGCATTTCCCTGGATTCTATCAGTCCTGGTTTCTTCAAATGTTTCTCTCTCTCTCTGGATGACCTTATCTGTAATAAAGTTTTAACATTCATCTACATGATATTTTCATCTGTCTTTGGAATACCTCCAGCTAGCTAATGACGATGATGTTAAAATTAATAGCAATCATGAATATTATTAACATTTTTAAAGCACCTCCTTTCAAGCACTATGCTGAGTTTTTAACTTCTCTACTCACCAAAATTTCCGATTCCCCCTATTTTATATTTGAGTGGGGAAGCAACTTGCCTATGTCACACAGAAATTAAGTGGCAGAGTTAGGCTTTAAACTCAGCATATCTGACCCAAAGGCCATGCTTTAAGCCAGTTTACTAAACGTTACGTGTCCAAAATGTAATTCCTATCCCCCAAATTATTCATCTTCCTATATAATCTGTTTCAACAAATATATAATTATCTACAGCAAAACCCAAAACAAAAAACTTGAAGTCATCTAAGATTCTTCCCTTCTCTAAGCAGTAAATCACCAAGTCCTGCTTGTTATATCTCTTCCCTTTTATTCTTGTCCCATGACTATTTCCTTAGTTCAGTGGCCCCATAATTTCTCTCCTGTCCCATTGAAAAAGCTTCTCAGTTTGATTATGCATCTCCTTCTCATCTTGGTACCTTCCAATTTATCCTCCAGCAGCTATTCATCTTCTTATACCATATATCTGATTATATCCCTCCTCTGATAAATCCCTAATGACTGACTTCCCATATCCTGCAGCAGTCTTTCTCAAAGTGAGTTTTGTGTAGCACCTCCCATCAAAATCACCTAGAAAGCTTGTTAGCAGATGCTAAGGAACCACACCAGAAATTCTTAATTAGAATTAGTGGTAGCAGGACCTAGACTCTGTATTGTTAACAAGCTCCCTATGTGATTCTTTTTCACACTAAAATTTGAGAGCTTCTGGTCTCCAGATTAAGTGCAAACACTTCAGAATTGCTGATAAGCACCATCTGACTGGCTCTGGCTTATCTCCCTCCTTCCCCGCTTTTTTCCACTCCCCCAACTACACTCTGCTTTCCAATCACACCAAATTTTTGCAGATGTCCCTAATACCAAGCTTTCTTAAGTGTCGGAGACTTTGCATGTGTTTCGTCTTTTACCTGGATGCCCTTACTCTATATCATCTAGCAAGTTGCTGAGTTGTTTATGTGAATATGTGTGTTGCATACTTTGAGTCCTCAGTAAACTGAAAATTTCTCCCAGGACAGTGCTAGCTACATAGTCATGGGATATCACCATTAAAAAAATACTACTCCTAGTTCAGGATGTGTGCAAAACCAAGGGATGCCTGAGAAAAATGTAATGAATGTGAACTTAGCATGTATTTCGTGTGGAGGTCCTAGAATCCCTTCAGTAATGTCTCTGTGGCTCATGAGTGATTATTTGGTTAACACTTCATATAAGCCTTTCAGTGGGCAATTTTACATTTGCTGGCATCTCTACCAATGAGCACACAATGGAAATGACATTCCAAAAAGCTATTTTGGTCACCTACTGTAAGCTCTAATCAGATAAATGTTAGAAGGAGTAATTAAATTGAAGTCTCTATATGGTCTGTTTTATGTAGGGAAGGGAGAGATGCACGTAGTCACGTCTACATGTTAGATGTTGAACTAAGCATTACCCTTCACAACAAATTTGTTTGTAAATTTATAATAATCCTCCCTTTATAGACAAGAGAACTGTACTCACAGATACCCAAGAGACTGGGGAAAGTCATCCAGCTAATAGGTGACAAATCTGAAATTTCAATGTAGGTGTCTTTATATCCTTTCATCTATTATACCTATGTTGTCTGATTTTGGAGTACATATGTATGGAGATTTTTGTCTTTATAAGCAAAAGTCACTTCAGACATTTCTTTTTCTGTGAAGAGTAGAAACATTTTATTGCGTTTTTCCAATAAAAGACAATGTTACCCACTGCATAAATTAGTTTGTTTCTCTCACTATCCGAGTTTTAGAAAACAACATTAAGGAAAATGTGTTTTTAAATCTTCCTAGTGATCCTTTAGGCCTTCAATAGCACAGAGAAGAGTAATACATCGCCTACCACTTAGTGGGGGAGTTATTTAATGCTAATATCTATTTGTCAGATGGGTCCCCTGACCAATGGTGATACAAGGGGAAAACAAAATCTGGGGGTTAAAAGCAAGGATTTCCCTAAACCCTTGCTTCCCCCTCCTTTCCACTACCCACTCTTTTCCCATGCCCCACTTCCAGGAAACTGGGACAGCTGGTTATCCATCTCATTTCCCTAACAGTTGCATGCTGACTCTGTCACCAAGCTGTGCATTTGCTAGAACAGTCGCTTTTCTTCATAAGACTGATGAAAAGAAAGCAGAAGTACTATGCATTGTTTTTCTTAAGGTTCATCATGCTGTGTGTGTGTGTGTGTGTGTGTGTGTGTGTGTGTGTGTGTGTGTGTCCCCTAAGTCGGGGGAAACTATTAGGAGACAGCCAGATTTCTTTAATGAGCCTAGAGGTAATGCAAAATTCATGTGCTTTCACCTGCAGCTGGGTAAAGCCTGGTGCACAAACAGAAAAGGGGGTGGCAGGAAGGGTCTGTTATTTATGATTTTGTTGAAACAGGTACCCTGGCTGCTACTGGGCATCCTGACCCACTTGTTCATTTTTTTAGGAAGAAGTAGATACTTTCAGTGGGAGCGACTCAAGCATCAGATTTGCTCCTTGGAGCATTAATAAAAGGGCTCAGTTAGCTTCATCTCATTATTTTACTATGAGTATTGACTTTGGCCTAGAGTCATGTATAGATAAAATGGTGCAAGGGCTTGTCCTAAGTGATTACTCAGAATTACAAATCATTTCACGTGTAACTGAATACTGCAGTCTAGCTGGCACCCTGCCCCTTGCTTCTCCCCCTCCCCTTTCTCTAATAGGAGCGCAAATCCAGCTTTGTCTGAAGAGGCAATTAATCTTATTCACTGAAAGCTGAATTTTAATTCAGCAGCATGTGGAGGACATATTTGCCTATCACACAGAATTAGTTTAACAGGGAATTTAGAAAAAAAATATTGGAGGTCTTGGCATTCTTGGACAGGGAAAATATCTCATAGACATTCCTTTATTAGCCATCTACATACTTGCATATAAGCTTCTTTTTGTAAAAATAACTCTATTAGGGTAAACTGGATTTATTTTGTAAGTGGCTGATTACATTTTGTTTTATGTTGAAAACAAGATATGTGTGTTTTGGACAAAAATGAACATAAGGTAAGAAAGATAAATTTTAGTTTTCTAGTGATTCTAAAAGGCTATTATTTTTAAGGGCACAGCTTAGAGATGATCAGAAAAATAAAGGGACACATAAAAATCCTAGACAGCCCACATATATCCAAATCAAATCATAGAGAAGGGTAAGTGTTCAGGTACAAAGTTGACAGGTCTACCAGTTCTGCATTGCAGACTATCATGTGAAATCTGTTAGGCAAATACTATGTTTCCCTAGTGTTTCTGCTGTGCTGTATTTTAACAATTTTCCCCTGAGCAAGACCCCAGCGTTTTGTCTGAGGTTTGTTTCACATGTAGACAAAGTGTAAAAAAAAAAAAAAAAAAAAACACTTCCTGAAGCAGTTTCTTAGTTCAAGAGATTTGGACAAGAATTTGATTTAATGCATGTCCATGCTTAGTTAGATATCAAATTCCCATAAGGTCAGAAAATACATTTCCTCCTGATTCATGCTTGTATTTAACACAGCACTCCTCAAATGCTACGTTATAGTACAGGCAGATATCAAACCATGTAACTGTGTCCTTTCCAGTGACAGAGAGAATTTAATAAAAAACAAGAGTGCAGATGATCTTGTATGCCAAGTAATTATTAGTGCAGCATAAATCTCAAGAGTTACTCTAAGAGAGTTAAAAGGTGCTATTAGCTTTTCTGTGGCTCCTTCTCCAGTCATGATTGCCTAATACTCCTGGAATTAACCCTCAAACATGATTGCTTCCTTTGCTTCTTCCAGGAATGCACGATTGAATACTTAATAATGAGATGAGGACACAGGGAACCATGGGATGTTTTTCAAAATTTGTCCCAACGTTCTGAGAGTCTTTTTGCTGTTTATAGGTGTGGAATGTGAGTGGGGGTGTGTGGGGGAATCTATCAGATTAAATGTGCCTAATGGTCACCAAATGTCATGGCGTAACAGTTTAAGCACAGGGCTATAAAGTCACAAAGCTTTATTGCCTTGTCAAACCATTTGCAGTGCTAAATCTGGCAATTATTATTAAAGGAAACAATTTAAAAATTCAAGTTTTCATATTATTACCAAGAAAAAAAATCACTGTGTTTAGTGTCGGTGCCCTAAAGATACATTTTTGGAGTCTCTGCGTAAACTTCACATTAACTATATAATATTTGCAATTTAAATTTCACAGAATTGGAATTTGGATATGTGAAAGCCCGGGAACACATATTTGCAAATACACACTTGCAAATGTCCCAAGATATGAGTGAGGCATTGAAATGTATGGCAGTGTTCACCCATTATTTATTTACTTAATTTTTGTAAGCTCCACCACTATATGAGGTGCCTGTGTATATTTTGAGAGAAAATGGCTTTTGTGATTTGTTTGCCTATTTTATAGTCAGATTTTCAGTGCTGTTACCATTTGACCTGGAAAAAAAAATCAAAGGTAAGGGGAAACAGATGAAAAGGCAGAGCTTTCAATGTTTTTTGTTGTTGTTGTTGCTTCTCAAAGCATGAGAAATGTTCTATCTCCATTCTTCTTCGCAGACATCACATTAAACACACACCATGTAGTGGAGATGCTGGATGATATTCAACCAGCTCCTCTCTCTCTCAGCTATTCAGGTTCATCAGTGTTGTCCTTTCTATTACAAAAGTGAAGAAGCCCTTCATCAGTACCTGAATTTGCATGGAGGGCAAGTTTGTCCTATAACCTAAGAATCCAGTTTTCCTTCAAAAGATGTGAGATTCTGCTCAGAATTCTTGATGAGGCCCCAAATAAATAGGTATATTTTCATGTACAATTATTCTTTCCAAGCCTCTAAGATTTCGTCTGAATTGTCCTGATCATTCCCAGAGTCTGTCTATTGGTGGTCTGCTTGTCAAGGTAAAATTAATTGAGGTTTTTATGAATGCAAAATAAGGTCACCACAATCATGGCTATGCTCCAAGCACAATCTTATGAGGCAGATCCTATTATATCCATTTAAAGCTGAGAAACAGAGGCCCTATTTTATGTATGTTATATAATGGGTTCAATATAGAGGAGATATGATTTGAACAAAAACCTTTTGACTTCAGAGCCTATGCTTTAAACTACTTTGCCATTTTGCCTTTTTATATGCTACAAAGAAAAACCATTTCCATGGTTTAAGAAATTAAAGTGACCAAAATGGAAAGCATAAAGAGAACTAAAGTCAGGAGAGGGATTTGTTTCCATGTCTTAAAATAAAAATCTCTAGATCTCATCTTTGTTATAGTAGATGTAACAAAGTAGCCTTCCTGTCAAGCAGTCCTAGGAGTACCTTTTCAGGGCCTAAGATTGGTATCGGCCTTTTGCAGAATCAAACCAGATTCCTGGGTTCACAGGTGTGGAGCAGGAAGTGCTTGTTAAATTTGTTTTGAGAAATGTTAGGATGTTTTAGGTTGCAATTAATTAGAAGACTACAAATATCTCAAACAGTATGTGTTGTTTTAATTTTTTTGTGTGTCACATAATAAGAAGTTTGAAGGTCAGTATCTCAGGGTTGAATAATGCCGTATTTCAACTGCATCGCCTAAGGTCTAAATTCTATTCCTTTTCCTGTTCTGCCATTCTCAACATGACAACTATTATTGTTGTTGGTCTTGAAAAGGCCACTCAGCTCCAGGTATCACATCTCCATATGCCAACACTAGAGACAGAAACTGCAACTGCTTTTATCTTGTGTATTTTTGCTAAATAAAAAAATCTTTCCTAGAAGTAATTGTCTCTAGAATATTTCTCCTCACATATCATATATTGTCATCCCAAACTTGATCACATGTTCATCCTGAGACCAACCACTGGTAAGGGGAATGGGAAAATGAGGCAAGGGCAGAGACATTATTTTCCCTAGAAAAATTGCTTGAAAAATAATGATGAACTTAGACACATTAATGATGATTTACCAGAGTCTGATTGGCTGGGTAGGCCCCATAACAAAACCACATCTCTGCTATCACGGTACTCACAGGGAATGAGCTCCACTTGGTGTCCCACACACCATCCCAGTGCTGCAGAAACAGGAAGAAACAAAGCACATGGGAGGCAGGAGCAGAGCTCCTTTCCTTTTCCAGTGTCCCTCCAGCATCCTCTACTAACAAAGATTAACCTCATGCCCACTGGCAAGGAAGGAATGTTCCAGGATCACAAGCAGGCAATGAAGGCTGGCTTCGGAGATGAAAGGCAATAAGTTGATAATTGGCACGGCTGGCTTGCCTGTCAAATCCTAACTCTTTAGTAAGAACCTTCTGAGATGCTGACAACATAAGCATCCAAGAAGGCTCTATGAAAAGAAAGCCTAACATACAAAAATTTAACCAGAGAATTTATTTCAGATGTTATGTTGCGGGTACTGAGAGCAATAGCAATTTTTTGAACTCGAAGAAATAGATTACAAGCCACTATGGTATTTAGATACATTTAGATAGTTTTTATTTAGAAAAAAAGAATATTAGATGAGAAAATGAGGCAAGGGCGGAGGAATTATTTTCCCTAGAAAAATTGCTTGAAAAATAAATTGGAGAAAGGAAAAGAGGGAATATCATCGCATTCTGGGTATTTCCTTTGAGAGTCTATATCCTGAGGAGTATCCCAACTCTTATTCCCTTGTAGTGCATCTGTGGAGATAGGAAGAGTGGACAATAAGCTAGGGTCTGCCATCTATTCCTTCATTCATCTACTTAGCAAATATTTATCAGGTGCTTTCATATGTCATGAGCTGTGGTGGGCGTAGGAATGAGAGTGAGGAAAGAATAGCAGTAAACAAGTCATGAAAATGAATAAGATTCTACATAAACTTGTAGGTCTTTGTCCTGGACAAGTCAGGAAGGCTCTCCCAAGATCAGTGAACTGTAATGCACTAATATACATGACTTTTTTTAGGAGATCCAACTGGAAATAGAGGAAAGGGATTCATGTTGTCTGCTAACATTCCAGGGTCCATAACTGAATGTCATTAGGGAGGAGCTGCCTAGGGGGAAAAGGCCCCCATCATTTTTACTTTCTACCCTTTCTTAGAAGATCTTCAATCCATAAAAGGATTGCAGAGACAGTTCCCTTTTTAGGTGCCTACGACTGTTATCAGTCATATGGAAACTCAATCATGGAAGGAAGGCAAATCCTGCTAGATTTTCTGAGCAGAGTCATATTTATATCTGAAAGACTTAATGTTAAAAATATTTCCATGTAATAAACTTCTGACTTCTGATGAGGACCAGTAAAGCTACTGTTTATCCTATCAATTCTCTGAACCATTTAAAAATATAAAACACCCAAATTTATATATCCAAATGAGTACTGAAAAAATATTTTCAGAGGCCCTGAAGACTTCAGAGAATTTCCCAATTTTTTTTTTGAGTAGTAACTGTATTGTTGGAATAAGAAGAATGCCTCCTTGCAGGATCATTTTAAATACTCCTCTGTATAATTACTTAAAAAGTGATTGACTTGATTTACACGTTAGAATGATATCTCATATAAAAGAATTCATTTCCCTCTATATCAGTACCTGCTTAATGATCCAGTAGACAGTGGTTAGAATAAAACTTGGATGCTCAGCAATTTGAGGAAATCTGGAGAAACACAAAATCTACCCTGCTGCCATTTGCAGTTCACAAAAATCAAAAGGAAAGTGCGAAGAGAGAACGGGAGAAAAATGGGGAGAGGAGTAAAAGAGATGAAGACGAAGAAGCAGAAGCAGAAAAAAATGAAAAGGAACATATATTATTTTGGAAATCTCAACAGGTCACTATAAAAGTTATGAAGATAACTACAGAAGAAAAGTCTAGATATCAGTATGAAGAGATAAGATATCGATATGAATAGATAATGCAGTAGGCACCCTTGAACTGGAACTGCTGACAATAGGATTTAGAATGACATCGTACTCATTGGGAAATTGCATTGCTTCTACTTACTTCATAAAATATATGCCTTTGGGGATTCTGGTTAACACAGTTTGGTTGATGATTATGTTGTTTTAACATCCTGTGGTGAAATCAATCTGGCAAAGTTGCCACACTAAAGGACAGGTCCTAAGGGAAATTTACCAAAAGAAAGAAAGCTGTCTACTCTCTACTCATTTCTACCTGGTGGCTGTCTTAGTCTGGTTGGGCTGCTGTAACAGAATACCATGAACAGCATGGCTTATAAACACCAGAAATTCATTTCTCACAGTTCTAGAGGCTGAGAAGTCTAAGATCCAGGCACCAGCACAGTAAATGTCTAGTGAGAGTCCACATTCTGGTTAATAAATGGTGTATCTCGCTGTACTGTCACCAAACAGAAGAGACCAGGGGTCTGTCTCAGGCTTCTTTTATGAAGGCACTAGTCCATTCATGAGGGCTCCATCCTCACAGCCTAATTGCCTGCAAAGGCCCCACCTCCTGCTACCATCACCTTGGGGATAGAATTCTAACATATAAAATTTAGTAGGGGGTGTTAGGTGGGTACAAATATTCAGACCATGACAGTGGTCCTATTGAGAACATGAGTGGAAACACTTCAAGAGCTTATCATGTGTTAATATCGTTGAAATGCACTGAACATTCAACTAAATGATGCTTAATACTTATTATTAATTTTAAATATCATTATGGAGCTGATTACTAGGTTAGATATACTGAATAATGCAAAGATGAATAAGATATAAAACCTACTTCCAAGGATCTTATATTCTGGTATGTCAAATAAATATTTAGGTTTCCATAAAAGGGGAAAAAAATCAAAAGCTATGTTTCTATGATTATTAGATAGTCAGTGGGTCTTGGAGATTATTCTTCTTTTAATTTAAAATTTTGACTACGGCTTATAACTTACCAATATGTGATTTACTAATATGACTTACTAACTCAAGCCCATAGAATTTCTTGAGTTTTTTTGGCACTGGTTATAACATAGTCTCAACTAAGACTGGGGTAACAAGAAGTTGGGGGTGGATATGGGAAAGAGTCACAATGCAAAAGCGATTTTTTTTTTTTTTTTTTTTGAGATGGAGTCTCACTCTGTCACCCAGGCTGGAGTGCAGTGGCACAATCTCGGCTCACTGCAACCTCCGCCTCCCAGGTTCAAGTGATTCTCCTACCTCAGCCTCCCGAGCAGCTGGGACTACAGGCATGTGCCACTGCACCCAGCTAATTTTTTGTATTTTTAGTAGAGACGGGGTTTCACCATCTTAGCCAGGATGGTCTCGATCTCCTGGCTTCATGACCCGCCTGTGTTGGCCTCCCAAAGTGCTGGGATTACAGGCGGCCTAAGGGATATTTTTTAAGCAATTCAATTTGACATTTTTTTTTTAGCCTTATCCATTAGGTACTAGTACTAAATCAGGAATGTTAGTCATGCTAACCAGTGAATCATGAGATATTGGTGATAGGTATTTTGAAGGATTCTTGGGTGAAAATGTGCACCCAGATGATCTGAATTAGACCATGTAGCTATGGATCCTATTGTCCAGGAGGGTATCACCTACCTTTTTCTTTGGCTCAGGTTATGAACTCATGAGAGCTTTGATTCCTAGAAGCAGAGGGAAAAAACAAGCAACCCTTAAAAAGAATTAAAAGAGTTATTGAAGATGACTTCTTTATAGCTCTTTGAGATGAGAGAATGCATATTCACAAGTTGCTTGTAAATGCATTTTTAAACAGGTTAGAAAATCTGACATAAATAGCAGATCCCTAGTAATGCATCTATTCAGCGTTTTTGAACAATGGCATTTTCTTCAATATTAGTTTGGAATATCAAATACAAATGATATAGGTATGGGGCATTAATTCTGAACCCTGAACATTGTATAGTTCTAGTGATGAGAAAAATTATTAACTATATTCAGAAGGGGGAAATCTACGTAAACAAATTTCAAATAACGCACAGAAAAACACAAAAGTGTTATCAACAAAAGTTTAAAGAAAATAGTAAAATAAAAAGCGCCTCCAAATAATCTGTCTCTGTTTTATTTTTTCTCTTTGCCTTTCTCCATTTCCTTAGAACAAGGTCCAGTGTGATTTAAACCCTGAGTACATTTCCTCTTGTTTTTGTAGGTTATAAACATAGATTAATACGGTATGTTTAGCAAATATAGCTGATTTTGGTTAATTATTTTATAGTTCTACTTTTTAAGGAGATTGTATTTTGTGGTAATTTCTGGTCTTTAAGAATATTGATTGAAGATGAGTCTTTATGAGGAAATCAATATTTCATTCATATGAAATGAATGGGATTCAAACATAGGATATACCTGCGGATGGTCTATAGTAATTATCTCATTCGTGTATATTGAATTAATTAAGTCATAATAAAAACAAAAAAACAAAGCTCAATCCAAATAAAGAATTGTCTACTTGATAAAGGAAATATAAGCTTTTATGTAAGTGGCTGTTCCTCAATTACGTAGATGAGTCCAAATCTGTTCTGTAACGCAGGAACTAGACAATGGAAAAGCATGTTTCTTTTCTTTTGTATTTGACATTTTGAGTTAATTAGCCCCACCTGGCTGAATTATAGCTAAATGAAAGGGAATTCTGAAAATTTTCTGTTAGTTTCATGTTTGAAGTAAACACCCTGAACCTTTTAAAAATGTTATGATTTTCTCTTAAAAGCTCACTAATATAACTACAACTAATAAAAGCATAATGTATATTACTAGGTCTGAACTCTTGGCCATGGGTATCTGTGCATTTTAGAGATGGTGTCTGCACAAGTGTCATAAATGACCATTTTATAGATAGATAATGTTCTTAATCCATAATTCTTTATTGCTGATGGTTATTGCATTAGATGATGACCCTTAGCTATTAAGAGTCAGTTTTTAATATCACAACCATTTAGAAAGGTTAATGGACTTGGTTTTGCGATTTAACCTTTGGATGCTGCAGGTTGAGAGGTTATATTTGTGCACTACACTGCCAGAAAATATCTACTTATTTTCATTTATCTATGCACTTTGAGTAGTGTGGTTTTGTACAGTAACTGTTATTTACAAAGCAAAGGGAAAGAAACAGTGTGTCCACATAACAAGTTTCTAGAGCAGTGAGATTCTTCTAAAATATACATTTCATATTTGGCTTCTATTATTTTTCATTTAGACATAAGAATTGAAATGTGAACAGATGTAACCTAAATCAGTTGAGGAATATTTATTATGGCTGCTTTAAAAAAATAGACCAAGATTATAATTCATAGTTTTCTTGGCTTGTTTGGAAAGTTCACATGCATTGTAATGAGACACTGGTCATTTAGGAAAGACACAAATCCCTTACAGATGATACCTGTCTGCACTCTAGAATTTTCCAAGGAATAAAAATAGGGTCTCTCTGGTTTCAGTTAATCCCATTTCAGAAATCTAATTACGGTTCCATGGTGGCTATTTGTCATTTATTTGGCCACCCATTATCCATTATTCTTCCAAATATCACCTTATTCTCTTTTATTCCATTCATTCATTTTGAATAGGTTTTAGGGGAGAAAAATTCCAGGCACTTCCCCTTTGTTATGGAAGCTAGAAGCTGAGTGTTTAAATATAATGACCCCCAGTGAATCATGGCTTCTGTAACCATGCTGTTGTGGCTCCCCTGTACATTGACTCTGGGCTTGACTGTGTGACTTGTTTTGGCTGACGGGACATAAGCAAACATGATGTGAGCAGAGGCTTGAAAAGAGCTTGCACATTGGGGGTGCCCTCTGTTGCTGGCTGCTTTTAGAACCCAGCTAACCATGTGAAAATACCTAGGCCGTGAGGCATGATGAGAGATCCATAACCCAGTGGCTTTCCTGTATATCTAATCATCAGACATGGGAATGAGGCCATCCAGCCCTAGTCAGTCCTCTGCTGATCTACTGGTCTCCATTTCCCGTTATCTAACCTCTCATCAACTCTCCCAGCTTCTTGACAGTTTTTCAAGAAATAGCCTTTTACTAATTTAGGTAGAATTGGTCTCTTATGCAAGCAAGAACCCTAAATAATATAGATTCCTAAATTGAAAATGCAAAGGAATTACTTAAGAATAACACAAACCACCATGAACATGCTTACACAAGGGGGAAGTCAAATCATGAGTGGATTATATGAAGATTGATTTAGTTTGGTTATCAAATATCCTTTGCCATGGAGTGATTGATGGAACGTTATGAGCCAGAGGGTGATATCAACTTAGCGACCACTGGGTAGGGATCTGAGTTTCTATCTCTCATCGACTTATATGTATTTCATGAAGCTCAATCTAGAAGTTATGCAAAGAGCAGTGTCCTCAATTAAAGACTTCGTGTACTGTGCAGCATTCTCCTTTTACTTCTGTGTTCTCTTGTCCTTTTTTTGTGTTCATTTTTTCCTCTCACCCCCATGTTTCTACCTTCTGTGCCCCACAGTGTCATGAGATTCTGCTCCTGAAAATTGCAACATCCCAAGTGCCTCCCAACGTTGTCTCTAAGGTTTCTGAATGCTGTTGCTTTCTTCTCACACCTCTGAGCTCATCACCTGCTTTGCGCTATTGAAAATTTCCCCTAGGCCGAGCGCGGTGGCTCATGCCTGTAATGCCAGCACTTTGGAAGGCCGAGGCAGGTGGACCATGAGGTCAGGAGTTCGAGACCAGCCTGGCCAATATGGTGAAACCCTGTCTCTACTAATAATACAAAAAAGCCGGGCGTGGTGGCGGGTGCCTGTAGTCCCAGGTACTCGGGAGACTGAGGCAGAAGAATCGCTTGAACCCGGGAGGCAGACGTTGCAGTGAGCCGAGATCACGCTACTGCACTCCAGCCTGGGTGACAGAGCGAGACTGCATCTAAAAAAAAAAAAGACAAAGAAGAAAAAGAAAAGAAAATTTCCCCTAAGTGCCACATACCCTCCACTTTTTTTACTGATGGATTTGTCCTGGTGAAGGCTCTGTTTATTCTCCTTCCAGCAAGAGCAAGGGCTTCTTTTCAGGCAAAATACTAGCGAGACAACCCTTCACTTCAAAATAGTTCTGGTAACTTAGATTTAAAGAATCACCCAAATGAAACCAAAACTCAGAGTTTGAGGTTATCCAAGTACCCAACCCCAGAGTCACAGCGTTTTTATTAGTATTAACTCATCACTGATACAATGTGTGAATTACCCTAAAAGATATTGTGCTTTTTATTTCAGCCATAGCTCTTTTCACAGGCTGAACTGCACAATAATTATTGGTAAATGTTTCTGTTTTCACCACTTGAAGTTCAGAGGCCATATCTTATCACTGCACTCTTCAATTTTTTTTTTTTTTTTTTTTTTTTTGAAACAAAGTCTTGCTTTGTCGCCCAGGCTGGAGTGCAGTGGCGCAATCTCGGCTCACTGCAAGCTCCGCCTCCCGGGTTCACGCCATTCTCCTGCCTCAGCCTCCCGAGTAGCTGGGACTACAGTCGCCCGCCACCACGCCCGGCTAATTTTTTGCATTTTTAGTAGAGACGGGGTTTCACCGTGTTAGCCAGGATGGTCTCGATCTCCTGACCTTGTGATCCGCCCGCCTCGGCCTCCCAAAGTGCTGGGATTACAGGCGTGAGCCACCGCGCCTGGCCACTGCTTCAAATCTTTAGTTATAACCTGGTGTTGCTGGGCTGCCAACCTGTGGCATGCGTGGGTGTATGTATTTCATAATGAGAAGATCATGGCTCTCAAAGACATCTATTGCCACAAAGAGGTAATCATGACACAGGGGATGTTCAGTCAATGTTCATTGACTTGAAGTTAAAGTAATTCTCCAAGATTGGAGAATTGCTCTTCATTCTGGAGCAAAGAAACCTACAGTTTGTGATAGCATATAACCACTTCTGTAGTAAAAGAAAAAGAGTGAATTTCCCTTTTGATAAACAGACTTTCAGTCACAAGAGATGAGGGGCCATGAGATGACATAGAAGTGGGATATGAAATCTAAAGTCCAATAGAAAAAGGGGCCTTGGAGGTTAAGTAACATTTCCCTTTTTTTCCCCAGCATCACTCCACCAAAGCTATCACAATCTATTCCAAGAGTGTAAATTTGGTATTTTGTACATTAGAAGGTACATTCAACTGACAATACTAGGAAATCCATTTTTACAACTTAACAATTTCTGTCAACTTTTAAAAAATGTTTTCAGTATCCATTTCCTGGGAGACTCATAAAGTTGTCTTTCCCGAGTGTTCTTGGTTTCTGCTGTTTGTTCATTCTTTAACTATTTTTTCCTTCCATTTCAAGGAAGACTGTGGCCATTTTCTCACCCTCTTTGGCTTTGGCTGTGATGTTAGGTGATTCAATATAATTAGGTGAGATGTTTATAGGCCCTCAAAGGCTAAGAAAATAATAAATGTGGCAGTTCAAATAATGGCAATCATAGCAGGTCAAGCAAAAAAAAAAATCCTTTGGACTGGGATTGACAAACTCTAACGTTATCAGAGCTTGGAAATGCATCACATTTTCTTTTTCTCTCTCTTGTTTTTGGCTTTCTTGCTTGCTTTTCTGTATTGCATGGGGATATTTGCATTCTGTCTCACCTGTTGCTGATTTTTAAAAATTTTCAATGCACAGATTCTGCTTACTATGAAATACTCACATATTATTGCAAAATGAATCCTTGTCTTTGAGATTATATTCATTCTAGACTTTCAAAAATATATCCATTTCTGATTACTCTTTTATAAACCAAGTCATCACAAATTTCTTTGATATACTTTTTTCTTCTGATTTTAAAAGTAATATTAAATATTTATTGTAGAAAATTAGGAAACTACAGAAAAGCCCAAATAAGACAAAATTTTTTCTCATCCATTATTTATTTTCCTTGTGATAACACTGCTACCCTTTTGTTTTCTATCCTTCCAGTCTTTTTCTTAATGACTAGATATATACATGTATATGACATTTATACAACTGGAATCATGCTTTTCTGAATAAATAATATGAAATGCAAATTTCTTGACAATGAAAATAAGGATTTACAACAATTCAAGTAGTAAGATTTCAAGAGTAATCCTTTTTATAATTAAAATGTGACAGAAATCCATGAAATTTTGATAGTGTGGATCGAAGAACAAATGCTCTTCAGGTATGAATAGCTCTCACAAATTTGATAGGTGGGAACTATAAAAAATGTAACTACAACATATATTAAAATAAGAAGGATTTCAGATGGCCCCATGAGGAATGTCCTACAGTGAATTTTGATATTTGGTTATTTTCCAGGTGGCTTTTGGGCTGCTCTTTTCTCAATCCTCTTCTAGCATTCTGTCCATCACGAAACTCAGTTGTTACATACAACTGGTCGAAGTAAGCAGAAAAAAAAAAGCTCACATCATTTTCCTTTTATTTCTTTTTCCTTTTTTAAAAGCACAGTTTTATTCATTTTTCCCATCAACACTTGGAAATGTGGCTTCTGAAAGATAACGAGGCATGGTCCGTAGCATGCCATAACCTCTCTTTTTCTCCCCGCTCACTGCTAACTCTTTTGTTTGTACAATATTCTTTTATTCTGAGCAGTATAACGTTTTAGTTCTCATAATAAATGCCTTCATGTGAAGCAGTTCAGCTAAGAGAATGTTATTAGACTGTGCTCCCAGGCAGCACACCTCCTCACGATCAATACAAAGCTGGGCCTCAGCTCATTCCCTCTTTGCTTAAATTCCCTGCAAATGTGCAAGAGAAGCAGCAGTGGGTGTCATCAATCACAGGCCACTGTGACATATGCTGAAACCTGACCAGGGCCGAGATGTTTTAATAAGGCATCCATTAAAACCCTCAAATAAATTGCAATTTGAAAACAGAACATAATACCAGCCAAGTTTTCCTCATCCATCTTGTGGCATGTCATGTAATGTAATTGCATTGTTAATTTATCCAAGAACTTTCTCAGTACAGTGTTTTGTTGGCGCTGCTTAATTTCCCTGTAGACTATTTGTGTGTGTGTGTGTGTGTGTGTGTGTGTGTGTGTGTGTATGTGCATGTGTGAGACAGAGGGGGAAAAGAGAAAGAGTCTGTGTTTATTTCTGTATGTTTGTGTGTCCGTTTGTTCCTTGGAGGAAATAGTCATGTTCTGCTTATCATGGCATTAGCCAGAGAGCTAGTCAGAAATTTGAAATGTTTGACATTTTATCGATGGCCCCTGAGCATCTCAATGTTGCCTCACCAAGCCTGGCCTACAGCAGGACCACCTCCTCTCCCTGCTCAACTTGCCATTGGTTTATGCCTCTCCAGAGTGGGATCACTCAGAGTGCCTGTGGATCCCATCAATAAATATTGACAAAAGTGTTTAGGGGTCATTTAAGATCACCACATAATGACACTCAAAACAGGTCAGTACTGATTTTGGTTCCCTAGCTCTTGGGTCATATGTGAGAAGTTTTGACAAGGGTAAGAAAAGTCAGAAGTTATAAATCAATAGGAGAGAATGAAAAAGTATTTCTCTGGAATAATGGCAAAGTGATTAAATTGAAGAAAAAAATATATATATTTAAAAGCTTGGTGGGAAGATACAGGCAGGCAAGGGCTCATATAGATTTTTTTGTCTTCTAAGCATAAATCTAAAAATAACTAATGCAATTCTTCATGTGGGGCTGCCTCAGCAGATTCTTCACCTTTATTTATTCTTCTGTGTTTTCTTGATCAATCTGTTCTCTTGTTTTCTATAGAAGAAGCCAATGGGAGGCAGAGGGTAAATCTACCCATACGTTCCATCTCTATCTAGGATGTCACAGTAACCATGATGCCAATTAAATATTGGTTTAAACCTGTCAAATGTATTTTCTAGGTCTACTCTTTTGAAATAATAGTCTGTTGAACGAATGGCAGAGGAGAGAAGACAGCATGACAAAAGAGAAAAATCTAACATAAATCTATTTGTGTTGCTACTATTTTATTAATTAAGAACAGAAATTATTATTTGGGATCTAGCAAAAAAAGACAATTAAATGCAAAGTGTACTAGTCAATAAATTAACAGCCACTCTCTCGGTAGGTCCTTATATCTAAAATATGTTATAAATCGGCTGGAAGAACTTGGTGACATTCTAATGTGCCACCTGGATACAAACCATTCTTGTCTAAGGCTCCCACTTAACTCTATGCAAACTATTAGATGATCGCGGAGTATAAAAGGTGCCAGGGAAAGACAAATTAGTTTCTGCTTTCTGCTAATGGATGACCTTTGTGATTTGGATCAGGTGCTGAAATTCACTTAGTCGGAAAGGCAGGAGAGTGGGGGAAACTTCTAAAATAATTTTCTCTTCCTACAGAGAAGACGCCTGGCTACCACCTGCCCAATAAATGTCAATTGGTTTACTTTTAAAAAAATAAAGAGCCTGATTCAGAAGTATTAGAAGCTGGGTTGAGAGGTGCAACGGAGAAGGAGTGAATTCACCAAGAATATAAAGCCAAAAAAGACAAAACTAAAAACCATTGAAAATTAGATATAAGAATGGTTAGTGCTTTCCTAGGAGAGTTTTGTTAACATCTCTCTATTCTACATAGACTCTTGAAGATTTATTGAAATTTGAGCTGACTTAGGCTTAGTAGAAATCATGTTTGATTTCTTATCATTGAAAATATTTTGAGGTTTAGCTGAAATTTGTTTGGAATTGGGAGTGTAATACCCCAAGCAACATTCAAGGGATCAGAACCAACAGGAACTGGAATATACAAAAACACTGTTTCTCTAGCTCCACGTGAGCCTGAGTTGCCAGCTTTCACATGTTTCTAATGTTAGCTCAAGCTTTCTGGCAGTCCCATTGTGAGCTCCATCTCCCAAGCATTCTCAGCTATTTTGGCATTTTTATGTTGGCCTTGCTTCTTTTTATTTCCTTGTCCAGAAATATAGTTATTTAAAAAACAGTATAATTATTATTGGATGTGTGTGTTTTTTTTAAGTTTCAGCTTGAGATGAATTCTTTCTTGCATTGATATTTAGCTACTATCCTTGAAATGCATGGAAGGAATAGGACATTAAAGACAGAGGACATGGACCTTTAATTCCTCTTGTGTATTGCAAGGGCAAGAATGAAATGTCAGTTCCCAAGGTGATTATATAGTGAATGTTGGCAAGAATGAAATAATTGTGTCCTACCCAGGGTGTGAGAAATGTATACATGGGGAGATAAAATTGTAAGGGGACGGACAATATAGGGTGAGCACATGTAGAGCACAAAATAATTCAATTGGGTGGATGACATAGGTCTTCGGCCTTTGTGGAAATCAGTGAACTGCTGTTTCTGTGTCTTTTTCAAAGCACAGGGACGTTGAAAGGACAAAGCCTTGACTCTCTGATCCACTGAGGCTGGCTCCAGTTAACCCTAGGATATTTTTAAGAAAGTTGATTTGTTTTCCTTTTGATCTCCTTTTTCTCTCAGCTTGCTTGAGCTGATTTACAATTCCTGCATCTATTGCTGCCTTTAGCTATGTGCACCATTATTCTGCCACCCTTTTTGTAATTAAATTCTGCTTGAAATGCTTATAGGCCTAACCTCCCTCCTTAACTTCAATCTGTGATCTCCTCTTTCTAAGTTAGTAAAATTGTATCATGCACACCATGAATAACCTTTCCTGGATGCTAAAATACCTGGGTTTTAATTCTATTTGAGTTTCATCTTTGTACAAAATTCCCTGCAAACTTGCATGTGAATTTAAAGCCTGATCCATAAAAATCTTCTAGCAATATGATTCTCATTTCAGAAGCCTGGCGAGATGAAGCCATGTGTTATGTTATAAACACCCCAACAAAAGAACTGTGATCTTATCATGTTATTTTTTTTTCCCAACGTAGTTTTGTAAATGTTGTTGATTCTGCCTCACCATTTGGAGTCTCTTGCATGTGTTACTCTTCCAAATTCTGGGGTTTAAACTTCCCTAGAGCCTCATAAGTTCTGGGTTTCTTAAAGCAATAGGTTACCCTCACCCCTACCCGACACTCTCCCCACTCTTCCAAAAACAATCCCCATACAAAGGTGCCAATAAACTAACTCAGCCACATACAATGATATTGTCAAGAAAATCTCAGGAGAAAACCATTTAAATTTCATGGCATAAATCTGAGCTCTTGGCCAAACTTCCCCTAACAAGTGGAGAGCACAAGTCTCATGCTAATTCTCCACCAAACCTCCAGTTTTATGAAAGCTACATTTTATCTGTTTGGTTATTTGCAGTCACTCGAGAGTTGGAAAAGGAATATTAGCACTACTCACATTTTATTGTGAAAGTCGCAGTACTTGGTTGACCCCCTTTTCAGGCCCTATTGAATTTCCTATACAAAGGAAATGAAAATGTTTTATATTTAATACAGCAGCACATAACGAGAGGCTTAGTTATTACACAGAGAGCTACAATTTTCTGCTTTTGTTTCAGCTATTGCTGTAGAGCTGAAATTTCCAAGCACATTTTTTATGATTTGTTTATTGCTGGCTTTAGAGATGACACTGAGAGGGAATGCCACCTTTATGCTACCTACTCTACAGAAAGAGGCTTTCTGTTTCTTCTTATTTATCCTGCAAAAGCGTGGTCCAGCTTTTTACTGATGTCCCAGTTTCTTGCAGACAAATTTTAAAAATCCTAAAGAAAAAAGTAACCCAGCGGAAATCATAGAGTGAACATACAGCTAGCTGTTTCCTGAATTTACTCTCAGGTCCTCTGATATTACAATGGTCAAAGAGAGCTCCGGGCTCTTAGCATGTGCCAGTCACTGGGGCTAAATATGTTACCTTTATTATTTAATCATTACAACAATGACAGTTAAATAACACCTAGCTATTCTTGTTATTGTTATTATTACCCTGTTTCTATAGATGAGAAAACTGAGGCTTAGAGAGATTCTCTAATTTGCCCAATGTTCCCTAGCTAATAAACAGGTGATCCAACTTAGATTAGAACCAAATTCTGTCTGATTCTGGAACCTGCTCCTCCACCTTTTTTTTGACAATAATAGTCATTACCACAATATTCTGTGTTAATTATTTTTCAGCGTACTTTTCTTGCTTCTTCTTTATTCTAAATTTAAATTTATTTTCTTTTTAAAAGTAGCGCAACAAACGCATATATACCCTTCAGCTAGATTCATCAATTTTGTTGTGTTTTCCTTTCTGTTTCTCTACACACACACATACACATACACATGTTCATATATACATATATGAGATATGTATTCACCTATGTGTGTCTGTATGTGTATTTATTTTTCAAATTATTTTCGCTAAGCCATCTAAAAGTAAGTTATAGCCTTTATAATGATATACCCCTAAAAATAAGAGGATTCTCACATTTAACCACAATCCATTGCCATACCATACTATAAAAATAAGCATTCATTCATGTGGTCATCTAAGATACAGTCCATATGCAAATTTCCCAGGTGGCTCCCAAAATGACGTTCATAAGTTTTATTAATTTATTTTTGATTCAGGATCCATCCAGGAAAGAGCCTGCCCACTTGACTCTTCTACCTGTAGCCTCTCCAGAATACTGGATGTAAAAGGAGATCTTCACGGGTTAAAAAAGTTAAGTAAAAACCTTGCGCCTATGTGAAGGTATTATATTGATTTACATAACACTGTAGAAGGTCTATACATGCTAAACCTCTTTTCATTGTGACATTCTTGGAGCCTGTTATTCTTTTACTTCAGCTATCTAAAGAATGGAATCGTGGAATAGTTCTGTGATTTTCTAAGCCATTCTACAGTTACTTAGTCTTGGAATTAGTAATGGCTATCGCATTCAGCCTGATTCTATCTTCCTGCTGCTGAAGTGAGTCTAAACTGGCCTCAGCAAATAGGTTCTTGAACAGGTATCTCCTGACACTGTAGAATTCAAAAAGCCATTTTTGAGGGAGGGAGAAGAAAAGGGGAGAGAAACAGGATTAAGAAACCAGAAACAGCAAAGAACTGGAGAGAGGATGTGAGGGCGAAGAGAAAGTGTTAGAATCTGCTTAAATTTATAATCCCAACAACATAGTAACAACAGCCAGAATATATTGGGTGCTTAGCATGCCTTATTAAATAATGAGGGTTTTCAATGTATCTTTTTCTGTTAATCCTTACAACAGTTTTCCAAAATAGGTAAATATTACCCCCTCCCCATTTTATAAAAGAATTATTGAGTCTTATACAGGATAAGTATCCTGTCCATGGTTGCCTAGCAGCCGTGCTCAAACCCAAGCTATAGGAGGGAGGAAAGGAGTAGAGCTAAGGATGGTGAGTGGCCATCCTCTGCTCCTAGTGTGCCCCTTTCTTCCCACAAGTTATTAGTCACCATGCCAGTCGTCAAGGATCTTCTTTGTTCTCCATGTTCACTACCACTGCTTTGGTTTAAGCCAACTCCATCTCTAAGCGAGATGCCTGCAATATCTTTTCACAGATCTTTCTGCCACCAGCCTCTCCCTCTTCCAGTCTCTACACAGTGGTCTTTCTAAACACGCCACCCCCTTGTTTGAAATACTTGGATGATTGTCCATGACTTAGACCACGGCTTCTTAACCCTGCCTGCCCATGAAAAACACCTGGAGAGCTTTCCAAAACACAGGTGGCCAGGCCACACCTCAGAGATTCTATTCCCTTGTTCTGATGGAATAGGGTGGCCAGAAAAAAATACAGGATATCCAGTTAAATTTGGATTTCAAAGAAATGATAAATACTTTGTATTGTAAGTATGTCCCAAATATTGCACTGGGCATACTTGACTAAAATAATTGTTTATCTAAAATTCAAATTTAACTGTGTGTCCTATATTTGCATTTGCAAAATCTGTCTATGTGTTGGTACGTGTTGCAGGGAGATGATCATGAGTATTTTCTAAATCTCCCCAGGTAACTCATGTGTACATCTAGAGTTGAAACCACTGATTGTAGGAAAAATGATAAATGACATAGACTCTAAACTCCTTATCATGGCAAAAAAGGACCTTCAGAGTTTGGCCTCTGCCCCCTTTTCAATCTCACCTTCTCTTTCTCTCCACACCCTAAACTACCTGCTATGCATTTTACACTTTCTTATGTCCTTGTCTTTGCATATGCTTTCTCCCAAGCCTGGGATCTCCTTTCTGGTCTGTTGGATGAACTGCCACTCATCCTTTAAGACCCAGATACATTGGCTATCTGCTTTTTCTAGCAATTTATTAGGCCCTTTACATTAAATATTTCAAATTCTTGTTATTAAGGTGTAATCACTTGCTAATTTGTTAATTCAAATTAATAACAACTAAGTTTGTTAGTTGTATTAAAATAGAAACTTTCCAACAAATGTCAAACACAAATTTTGAACAAATCAATATGTATTACATTTTTAACTTTAGCATGTATTAAAATCTTAATATATATTAAATACAGCATATACTAAAATTGATTTTTATATTTTTGCCATTATTTTTTTCTCTTCCTCTTACCCATGAGCCAGTTGAACAAAATAAAAGAAAGCAGAACAAAATAGCTAAGACAAACACTTGCCTCCATGAGTTTAACATCTAAACAGATGTTTATATTTTTAATCTCTGTTACAACTTTCTACACTACAGTTTTTCTCATATTTCAGATGCGTCCTGTATTAATTTATGTGAAGCTCTGTTAAATCTAATTAAAATGTTGCCATATTTTGTATTATGCATTTTTATATAATTTCTTTATATCTAGGCCAGGCATGGTGGTTCATGCCTGTAATCCCAGCAACTTGGGAGACCGAGGCAGGAGGATCGCTTGAGTCTAGGAGTTTGAATCCAGCCTGGGCAATATAGCAAGACCCTGTCTCCACGAAAAAATAAATAAATAAATAATTTCTTCATTTCTAACAATGTTAACATGTCTTATTGTAAAAGTCCATTAATTCGGAGTCTATGGATGGTAGTAGGTTATGATTTGGTTGGAGATTATGTTGAGGCTACTTTTCATTCTCAGTGTTTGTCTTAGTCTGTTTGAGCTGCTCTAACAAAATACTATAAACTGAATGACTTATAAGCAACATAAGTTTATTTCTTACAGTTCTACAGGCTAGGAAGTCCAAGATCAAGGCACCAGTGTTAGAGGCGTTCAAACCAGAGTGACTCCATCTTGAGTGAGGGCTAGGAAAATGAGGCTGGGACTTGCTAGGCTGCACTCCCAGAAAGGTATTCCTAGCCTCCAGATGTTTACAGTTAAGGAAACAGATTGATAATGTTTACTAAACAGACCCAGACTTGGGAATGGCCTAATATCCCAATATCTTGAGAACAAAGGCATTTCTAATTTTGCTTTAAAGGTAATAATAATGATTCTTGCCAAATATAGTAACTAAGAAAATTAATCCTTTATTACAAACCCTTGGAGCAGAGCACATCGCTTCATGATCTTTTTTTATCCAGAATATAAACAAGTATTGTACGTAGGGTGGACACATTCTTCCTCGTACTTTCAGGATTACCCTGCTCTGTCTGTGGAGTAGCTGTGCTTTCACCACTTTACTTTCTTAATAAACTTGCTTTTGCTTTGCACTGCGGACTCGTCCTGAATTCTTTCTTGTGTGAGATCCAAGAACTTTCTCTTGGGGTCTAGATTGGGACCCCTTTCCTGTAACATTTGCAGATTCCATGTTTGGTGAGGGTTCGGTCTCTGCTTCATAAATGGCACTTTCTAGCTGAGTTGTGGTGGAAGGGTAACAAGCTTCTTAGGGCCCCTTTTATAAGGACACTAATTCCAGTCATGAGGGCTATGCCTTCATGACCTAATCACCTCCCAAATTCTCCACCTCTTAATATTGTTGTATTAGGGATTAGGTTTTAACATAGGAATATGAAGTGGTGGAGGACACAAACAAACCATAATAGTGTTCATTTTTATCAATGACCTCTTCTGTAGTTGGAAACAGAATGAGAAAGAGAGAAATGTCTCTGCTATTGATAATCCCTAGGTCAAAATCTGCAAGAGTTCCAGCTGAGGAATGAGAAAAATGTCTCCTAAGGTAGGAGGGAGGTCAGGTGGTCACAGTCACCCCAAATGTGTTGTTCATGTTTATATTTTCCATTTTGAAGGTAGATGGAATGCTCGGCGCAAGATGGCAACTTTTCCTAGTTGAGCTCTAGGCTTTAGAGAAGCTGCTGATAAAAATCATTGGTTTTGATCAATATTTTGTGAACTACCCTATGACCTCATGACATTTGTTATCACTTTACAAAGCAACCCCAAGTTTACAATGTGCCCCAAAGTTTTGTCTGTATAGGCAAAACTTTGTATTCCACTTTCTTGTAGCACCGGGAATAACTTCCTGCTTCATTAAGCTTTTCCCCTGTCCTGTTTCTCTTTATCATCTGGTAGCGGATGCATGGCCACTCTTAGGCAGTGTCAGGTTTCTCCTGTTCTATGTTAAGTCTTTTTAAACTGCAACTGTTGGTTTAAATGCCTGCTTCCCCACTAGGTTGTGACCTCCCTAAAGACAGAAATTCTCCCATTTACCTTATCCCAGTGCCAAGTACTGTGCTTGCCACAAACTGGGTTTTCAGTATGTTAATTTGTTCAAAATTATTTTTTGACATTTCCTGGAAAGGTTCTATTTTCATGCAGCCAACAAAGCTAGCTGTTATGAACTTGAATGAACAGATTAATAAATGATTACACCTTAATCACTAACATTTGAGATATTCAATGTAAAGGGCTTAATAAATTGCTTAGCAAAAAGCAGACAGCCAAGGCGTATAATTTTTAGCAGGAATAATTAGAACGGTAGGCATGCAGCCAGGCGCGGTGGCTCATGCCTGTAATCCTGGAACTTTGGGAGGCTGAGGCTGGCAGATTGCCTGAGCTCAGGAGTTCAAGACCAGCCTGGGGAACACGGTGAAAACCCATCTCTACTAAAATACAAAAAATTAGCCGGGGGTGGCAGCATGTGCCTGTATTCCCAGCTACTTGGGAGGCTGAGGCAGGAGAATTGCTTGAACCCGGGAGGTGGAGGTTGCAGAGAGCTGAGATCGCACCACTGCACTCCAGCCAGGGCGACAGAGCGAGACTCCATCTCCAAAAAAAAGGTACAGTAGGCCTGCATGCCAAACCCTGCAGGAGTATGCAGTAGAGAGAACCATACAATTCACTTTGCCTAGGGAAGTCAGATTTGTGTCTTAAAGGTTGAGTGGCAGTTCATCCAACAAACCCGAAAGGAAATCCCAGGCTTGGGAGACAGCATGTACAAAGACATAGATGTAAGAAGGTATAAAGCTTTCAGGAGGGTTAGTATAGGGTGTGAAGAGAGAGAGAAGGTGAGATTGAAAAGGAAGGAGAGGCCAAACTCTGAAGGTCCTTCTATGCTGATAAGAAGTTTAGATTTATCTTATTTATAATTTTTTCCTATAAGCCAGAGGTTGTAAGCCTGGATGCACATGTGACTTACTTGTCTTTGTTCAGTAAATGATTACACACAGATCTTTTTCTAGACCCAGAGAGTTTATTTTCATATGACTCATCTGCCTAACATCCTAATTTCTTTAAAGAAGAACTTGTTAGAATAATGATGATAAATGTCATTTCCATTTGCATAGTACTTCATACCTTTCAGAACAAATAGTTTTCAAGGAAAACATAAGTAATTTATTAAGTAATGTATTTTGATCCTCACAACAACTTTGTGAACTTGATAGGGAAGGTGTTATACTCACAAAGGAAAAATACAGAGAAGTTATCATCTTCTGATTCTATATAGCAATGAAGAGTACTAAAAAGTGACCATCTCCTGCCTCATTGCTTACTCGTATTACCTACTTAACATGGAATTATAATGCAAACAACATAAATAATATTTGATCATCTTAGCAGTAGGCCTAACAATTCCTTGAAGTGGGAAGCCCACATTTGTTGGAACATTTCCATGAGGAGCTCCTTGAAATGAGCATGAGACCCTTAAAGAGCATGCTAAAGACACAATAAGTAGCTTCTAAATGGTTTTGAAGAGTAATAGTAGGGTCCGACTTTGTTATAGCTTTGATTTGAATGAATAAAAGGTATGCAGTTTGGGGACAGAATTTTGACCTTAATGAGTTTCTTTACTAGAGGAGAGAGGCATTTGAGGTTGGAAATCATGATGTCCAGGAAGAGAAGAAAAAGAGCCAACAGAACTAGAACACATGGGAAGAAGAGACTGTTCCACCTCAGGCCAAAAAGAGACTAAGAACAAGAGCCATGCCTGAGGTTGATAGCTGTAGAATGTGTGATGCTAACTCTCTTGCATCTCCCTAAATCATCTTCACTTTAATATAGTCCTCACTAATAATTGTGTGTGGAAGCAAAACAATGAGAATGGAAAGATATCTGGTATTTGTGTAACATGGCCTAGTCTTACAGATTAAGACAATTTGTATATAGTATAAAGACTACAGACATTGAAACCAGGCAAACATACTAGCTGTGTAACAGAGAACACTTCTGTTTCCTAAAACAGGATGATAATACCTAACACATGGAATCCTTTCAAGGTTTAACGTAGTAATAAAATATCTATACAACCTAGACTGATGTTGGGACTCTGTAACACACAATTGCTGTGTGTTGCTGTATGTTAGCCCACAATAAACTGTGGATATGATTATTCATGCAGTTAAGCTCATCTGCATTTATGGATCATAGAAACTCACAGATAGATGTCAAGAGTCCCTTGGACCTAGAAGCCACAGCACATAATGATCCTTAAACAAAATGAAGCAGTCTGGGTCCGGTAATCCCTTTTTATGCCATTATCTCCTTCTACCTCCTTCAATCTTTATACTTGTCCCACTCTCATGTTTTCAGACAAGGATCAAAATCTCATTCACACTTGTAAAGTACAAGTGTAAGGTGCAAAGTTATAAGGATACATGATTCAAAGACTTTTTCCCCAGGGATTGAAAAAGCACTTTTATAGGTGATAAAGGTAAAATGAATCTTTAGTAGTGGAATTACAGGCATCAAAACCTGGGGCAGTGGGGTTTACAGAGAAGCTCCTCAAGCCCTTAAAATCATATCAAGTAGGTAGTCCCTTTTCCTACCTAAGCATGAGATATGCACTAGTTCCATTGCTAAGATCACATGCAGAGGTACTTAGAGTCCTATAATCTAGCAGTCTTCACATGGGATACATGTACTTGGGCTGTATGCCATTCTAAGGTCTTTGTGGCAGCAATAGTTGTAAGGAAATCAATTTGCTGGTTTCCAACATCCACGTGAACTTTTGTCTGGTAATAGGCCTGTGGCTGAGACACAATGCTCGTTCTCCTCTTCTGCCTCCTCTTTAATAATTGTCCTTCTTCTCCTGCTTTTCAAAAGAAAGTTTTCCCATTCACTCATCTGGCCCTATGGTATAAAACGCTCCAGCATGCCAAAAGAAGGAATAATGTTTAATATTGTTATCTGTTAAACCACTTGTAATCAAAGCACTATAAATTTTAAGGTCATTCTCTTTCTTAAGCATATGTCTGTTAAGAAGGAAGAATGGGATTCTTACAAGAATCTTGCCCTTTTCCTCTGCCAAATATTGTCAAGCAGTGAATGGTTCCCACTGGGGAGCCCCTTGAAAGCAAAGCAAAGAGAGAGCCTGCAGAAATAGGAAGGGTCAGGTAGCCTAATTTCTTCAAGGTGACAAATTTAAGGCAAATCTCCATGCCTGATCTATCTTTATAACTAGCTACCTACTTACTGCTGACTTATCTACATAATGTATCTTAGAACTAGAACTCATAAGTAAGATGCTGTCACAGGGGCATGTAATAACATATTTGTGAACTGAAAAATAACATCAGACTTTTTTTAATATCAAAAATTTAGTTTGATTTGATTGATTGGTTTTAGACAATGAGAACTGACATTACCATGTATGTTAAATGGTGAATATTTTCCCAAAATGGAATGAACTGAATTTTCAGCTCCAAGTTTTGACAAAATATGTTCAAAGTATGTGATAAGATGAAAGGATTTTTATTTTAAAATATATTCACAGGTGTATTGAAACTAACAATATTTTTATTTTTCCAACCCTCTTTTGAGTGAATCAGGGCTAAATAAAATGCTTCAAAACGAATGAGTAGCAAGAACAATGAATGGCTATCTGATAGGTCTTGGTAAAGCCTAGTTGGTATACTTCCCAGAAATCAAGGCAGTGAATGACTGTAATGACTGGGTGACAAAGACTTTTGCAAGAGAGGTTGTATATATTTCTTTTCTTTCGGTAAAACTGAAGGAGTATCTATTCAAGTTGTTAGATGTAGAGCACTAAAAATAATTTTTGATGATATATTAGGATGTGATATTTTGGCATATAGCTCACAGGACTACCAAGAATTGAGATGGCATGCTGTTAGGAAACCTTAATTTCCATCTCTCTATTTGTGTGAACAAATTTTTTCAGTTCTAATAACAATAAATGAGAAAATAAATATAATTGATATGGAACTGTTTCATTCTGGCAATAAAGTTCATCTGTAAACACACAAATTAATTAAAAATGAAGCCAGACACATCCATGTCATTAAGAAATACATGTCCAATGAAATAATGAAATTTATTGTACATAATTTTTGTTATTGAGGTTAATAACTTATTTCTGCTGTTTTCATAATTTGTTTACCAATAAAATTAATAATGGTAACCAAATCCAAAATATTTTTACTGTAGAGCCTAATACCAAATAAAAATAAATAAGATTTTAATTTACACACATTTTTACTACAGAGAAGTAACATGGTAATCAATAAAAGACCTTTAAGGATACTAACATATGTATTAAAACAAAATTTAGTAGAAAAATTGGAATAAACATACAATTTGAGGATAAAAGGGAAAGCTGTAACAGTCTCAATTGTTGAAGATAATCTCTTTTATGTGTTTTTCAAGTAGATTGTGCTAAATTGAAATCCCAATAATATTTAGAAAATCTGTTTTTCAAATGTCAATAGTCACAGCAAGTCTGAAATTATATAATTTAACTCACTAAGGAACATTTTATCTAACTTAAAAGTAGATTTTCATAATTATTTTAGGGATTAGGAGAACAAAAAGGTTGAACATTTAAATACTGTAATGGGGAATAAACAGTTGTGAAGCTTTGAATCATCTTCGTCTGTCCAATAAGTGAGGTTTTCTAGCTTTGGTCAGCTCTGCACCTAACTGTGCTTGTAAAAGCATCTGCCACGCACCTCCTGCTATGAGAATGTGCAAAAAAAATACACCTGGATAGCTATATACTAGCACATTCTAAAAGGCACTGAAGTTGGACTAAAACCAAAATGCTTCCTGATGCAATTATTTTACATTAAGATACAAATATTCCTAACACAGAAGCTCAGTTCCCAAATGCTCATTGTTTAGAAAACAAAATACACATTGAGCTCTAATAAAAATGCTTCCCTCCCTCGTTCTTTTATCATTCTTTTCCAGCAGAATCCAATGAACATGATTAATATACAATTTAGTGGGGATTTGGCCACAGTCCAAATATACACTAACCAGGGGGAACCAGGGACATGATACTGTGCTGACTCCACAGAAATCCCCTTTGCTCCTATTAAGAAGAGTTGAATAAGGAGTTAAGGATGAGCAGCTACATTTTTTCCAGATGTATTAGGAAATAGCATGTTCGTGAATACAAATACACCTGGAAGTGGTCACCTATGAAGGTCTTAAAGACTACATTCATGTGCAGCCTTGACTAAAGGCAGACTAATGAACCAGATGACTATGATTGTTGGCATTCTTCAAAAGCCATCATAGCCAGCAGTTTGAGGCTTACAATGTGCTGTCTAAGTGCTTTCCAAACACAGTTCTGAATGCATTCCCCACATTAACTAAGGTAAGCCTCACAACAAACCCATCCATTAGACTAACATCACCCCCATTTTGCAGATGGAGAATCCAAGGCACAGAGGAGTTAAGTACTCTTCCAAAAGTCACTCAGCCATGAAGTGGCAGAGCTGGGGGTTGAATTCAGTCAGTTTGGTTCTAGGGCCTTGAACTTAACCCCCGCATTACACATTACTCTGTGGAAACTTTGCTGCTGTAGACAAAGAAATTTATACTTCTTGAAGGTGGGTTTTTAAAAATATGGCAAGGGCAGATGGAGGAGGGGGTTTGGGATAGTTTGGCCTTCTGCCTAGAATTAAACATTCGCTAATTTTCTTTTGCTCTCTCCTGTTTCTAAGTAAATTGCTCTACACACTTATTTTATTATCATTATTTCTATCTGACATGCTATGCAAGAACATCATGATTTAAAATATCTTAATAACAACCCAAAGAAAGGGACTTAAAAGTAATGTTCAGAGAGAAAACAGATGGCCACCAAGTGCAAATTCTGAATTCTTATATTTTTATAAGAGGAGTAGATGTGGTTGGTAAAAGGTTATGCTAATAAGCAAAATGTTCTTGTATTGTTATGAGCTTATTATTTAAAAATCATTCTGAGATTTTTAAAGTGTTAAAATAGTAACCAAAGTAGATATTGGCAAACTAAACTCCAATTCTTCCTGAAGAAAATAATCTGATTTAAGCAGATTCTTGAGAATCAGTTTAAAACCCAAAGATTAAATGTCAGGATCTACAGGATGGAACAAGTTCTATTCATTTAAGGTAGATGCTATTAGCTTATATGTGAAGATATCAACACACTGTGTAAACCTGGACCCCACAGTGGAGCTATTTTTAAATCCCTAACTTCCTGGGGAAAAGCTCAGTAAATAGGGCCAGGAAACTTGAATCCAGGATCCAAACACTAAAGGCCTTTCTTGGACACCTTTGAACTCTGTCTTGCAATATTCCCAAGTCTGTAATTGCTGGCTGGACTCTCAACTTCATAGAAGGTCATGTCCTAGTTCCAGCGCCCCACTGTCCTTTTCTTCACCCTTTTCTGAATGACAACTGTTTCCTTCCGTTTTGGCTGTGGAAATAGTGGTTTGGGATTTTAAAAAAAGATAAGCAATCTCTAAAATCCCCTACATAATTCTACCATCAGGATTTATTCCTATTCCTGGTCTGGCCTTGTTGGCGTTATCCTCCTAATCCAGCTGTGGTGATGTATTGTACTGGCTGCCTGCCACACGCAAAAGCCTACCTCGGGACATCCTGCTAGAGGCAAAAGGCCAATCTGGCCTGTTTCTCAGTAGTTGGATTGACAAGCTGATACCCCGAGGACAATGATAATAGTCTATGTGTTTATATTTAGAAACACACATACTCTACACATGTGCTTATGTTGTGTGCATGTATATACATATACACACGTCTGTGCCATATATGCTGTCAGCTCCATCTGTGTGTGTGTATACATACATATACATGTGCTCAGATTCCAGATGTGCTATAAACTTCCTTTTTTAGTCTAATGTGAAATTCATCTGCCTGCAGCCTGCTTTCTGTCCCTCTCAGTCTAAAAAGATGTTGTTCAATCTTCAGTGTACTCTCAGCACTACTCTGCCCTTCTTTATTGCATTGACATGTTTTCACTTTGAGAATCCTTAAAGTACTAACACACCTTCTAATATGCAAGTGGCAAGCATAGTAATGTTAAACATTATGCTTTGTGTTTCTTGGTTACCTATTCACACATCATTTTACTTTTATAAGCAAGTAGAGGAAATACCATTCCAAATAGATATCAACATAAACCTTAAACTTCCAGACCTTGAGGTTTAGCATGGATTTGCCTCTACTCTATAAATCACTGTCCTAGATTCTACTAAATCTAGCTAAGCAAGCTATATCAATATTTTGTCTGACAACACAGACACAGTTTGGAAACAAGTGAAGGAAAAAAAAGGTTACAAGTCCTGGAGATTCTTGGACGTTTCTCTAAATCTCCTATGCAATTAGAGAAAGCAAATTTGGATGGATTTTAACAGATTAAAAAGAGAATTGTAATGAAGCCAGGATTTCCTCTTGAAGAATTTTTATTCAAAAAGTGTCTGGGATAACTGTGCACTAAGACAGCAATGCGTGCTTTAAATAAAAAAAAAAAAATAGTTAAAGCAAAGGTTAGGGCCGGAAAATGGACTAACATCTAAAATAGATCTTTTTTGATAAAGAGGAGATTATTTAAAGGCATAAATAAGTACTGTAAATATTTTAAATATCAAAATAAGTCAATTAAATAACTTTAAACATATTATCTGTTCCAAGAAATCTGTGCAGTCCAACATGTAGGCTTTCCTCTTTATTGTCTTATTTTAGTGCTTTAAATTTCCCAACTGTTTCTATTTGAGACTGTAATCTGATAATGAGTCCTTTTGTTCTGGATCTTTTCATGTAGAAAACATGTACAACAGAATTTTGGCTCCACTAAGCCACCATGTTTGAATCTCATCCATGTGCCATTTTTCATTTCAGTGACAAAATGATACATACAGGTTATTATGAATGGAATTTCATTCAAATAGCATTTAAGGTCATTGTGCACAAAATAGGCCTTAGTTTGAGATGGAGTCAGAATAAGAAATTCTATTTTAGCAAGAAAAACTGAAAGCAATTTGAGGACAATTAAAAATGGACGTACAAATAAGCCCCTATATTTGAGTACAATAGAAGCATAAAATACAAGAATGATCAAAAGAGTGAGTTGGGGGAACTTGGAGAATGTGAGATTTTTTATTTAGGCATTATATCCTAGTGATCTCCATTCTCTGCTATGGTAATTGTCTGTAAAATAGGAAGGCCTCTCATTTAATTTTATACAGTGAACTAAAATTCACACTTCCAGTGCCAATTCAGATGTTATCTTCTCTGAAATGCCTTTCTGACCCTCCAGTGGAGAAAATCTTTCCCTCCTTGGTGCTATTTCTGTGCTTGATGCATGCATCCATGTTTGCACTAATGGTTAGTCGTCATTTTGCTGCTGTTGTTTTACTCTTCTTAACTGTGAACACTTTGAGGTTAGAAACTATCTGAGTACAGAACCCTGTACTGTGTCTTACTCAAAATAAATGTTTTATGACTTGGTGAGTGATGAATGGCTGGTTGATAGGTAACAATATTAAACAGAATGCTTGACACTAAATGTGAGAATACTGTGTTAAGACATTTCTTATCAGCTCTTCCACTATGGCTTCACTTAATTCCCCTTTCCCGTCAAGTGGCATTAGGAATAATTCTGAATAACACTTCTTTAAAAAGTTTCTTTTTCCCTCCAAGTGGAATTAAGAATAAGGAAGGATTCTGAGTGACATTTTTAATGTTTTTTTAAAAATACGTCACATAAGGCATTATTAAATAACTGAAAAGATTTCATCCTCTTGAAAGTAAATCTCTGCTGTGAAATAGGGACCCACCTGGGAATGTTAATGGCCAGGTGAGAACTCTCCAGGATCTGCTGAATAGAGAACTTTGATAAGTTGAATAGGTGCTGTGAAATCTAAACTATATCAGTAATGTTTAGAATATATCAAGTCTGAAATATATCAAGTTTTCCCTAGCCCGAATTAATAGTTTATTCATGACATCTGCCATAGCCAAAAACTTCCAGCTGATCTCTAATTAAAACTGGTCCCCCACCAAAAAAAATCACTAATTTGGGGTCTGATTTTTGAAGTGGTATATAGAGCTTTAACAGGGTTAAATAACCTGATTTTGACTTTTTTTTTCCTAAGAGACTAAAGGTTTTGAGAGTATTTACAATATCCATGTATATATATTTAAAATACAGTTTATAAAATATTCTTATCCAATATATTTGCTGCAATTTGGAAAAATATTGTGAGCATTTTACTTGTGGTATTCTGGAATTTCACTACTATTGCAATTGCCCCTGATCAAAACAAATATTTCACTCCCATTTATCAAAGAACTGCATTTCACCCAATGTTGTACAGGAGTTAGCTGAAAAATTAACTAGACGCTAAGTCTTCCTTCCAACAAAACACTCCATTATAGGACATTTGATCTTCTGCTATGGTTGGTCATCTTACAGCTACAAGAAATTAATCTGTGATGGAATATTTTGAAATTGTTTCCAAATAGAAAAAGAAATTAAAAAAAAATTGGGAAATCAACTTTATTAGGTTCTCAACACTGCCTGCCAGCTCAATCTTCTTTTTTCTTTATAACTATCTCAAGTTTCCACTACTTTCTTCAAGCCTATACTCCACAACCTCTCTTTGCAAAAAATATGTGAAAACATTCCGCCAAATTTACAGACATCCTGTTCCTTTCACCTCTTTTAACTTGATGTAAGAAGACTGCATCCTCTTACTCAAGGCACAGATGGCTAACTACCCTGCACATTCCAAGCCTAGCCCTACCCTCCTCCTCAGTTCCCTCAAAGACTTCTATCAGAGTCCAGATTGGATTTATCTTCAGCTTCAACCTCTTCCCCATATTGATGTCTTTATGTCTTTCAAACTTTAAAAATCTACCTGCTGCACAACCACTCCACTATCTTCACAGTTAACGTATTTGAAAGAATGGTGTCTATCACTGCTCCTAACTTACCACCTAATTTTTCCTGAAACACATTACACTATGATTTCTCATACCAGTAATCAAAAAAAAAATCACTGCCTTGCCACCCGATAAATACAATGGAGACTTTTCAAGTATCTCGTCGGATTGTAATTGAATTAGATAAAATTAATCACTCAGTTCTTCCTGAAGACTGTACTTCCATTGGCTTTCGTGGCCATGTTGCCACTTTTTCCCAGCTCTTCTCCCACATTTCCAGCTACTTCTCCATGTGTCTTGTGAACTACTTCTCTGCTTGCCTTTTATAGGCTGCTCCATCCATGTTTATTTCTTCTTCTCTTCTCACTCTACAAGTCATTCTTCAATGAACAGATCCAGTTCAGTGGCTTAGTGAACCAGTTGATTCCACAAATATATTTGCTGAACATTCTGTATGTGTTAATGAACTCCATATATGCAACTTTATTCCTGACCTCTTTTCTGATCTCTAATCCATATTCATATCATAGTCAGCCTATTTCATAACACCATAAGAAGGACCCACAGACACCTCAAGTTGGTGAGCTCTTGATAAACGTAGGCACAGAATAAAGAACCAATGACTGACTAGTGAAAAATCAGTGAATTTCTCCTGAATCTGCCCAGAAATTTCAGAAACAAGTGCTTTTTCTGAAAACTCAGAATCAAAAGAGAATCCATACATCTGAAAAAGAGAAAGGCAAAGTATATATGTAAATGTTTAGTTGTGATTAAGCAAGCACTCAAATGAACACTTAATATGCATATTCCATAGCCTGTCAGTTCCCTATGCCATCTCTTGCCAGTTAGGTGATCATGGATAAAGGTCTTCATGTATTTATCCAACAGTATTTGTTGAATGTTTATTATATGCCTGGCATTGTTTTAATGCTGGGGGACATATTATTGAACAAAATTCCCATTATCATATTCAACTTCAGTTGCTTATTTGTAAAAAATAAATAATATCTACTTCATAGAGTTTTGTGACGATAAAATGAGAAATAGTATGTGAGGTTCACCTAACACAATGATGGTAATTAAGCAGGTTCTCAGTAAATGGTATCTTGATTACTACTAGATTTCACCTATGCAATTTTAATAACTTTGACCTTAGACAACAAAAAGAATCCTAACATCACCAGGGTTTTAAGAGCTTCAGAATTGAATAACAAGTATCAGGCTTTTGGGGACAGCTGGTTGGATGGACACACTGAAGTGTAGTGGAGAGAGAAATATCACTGGATTTTGGTGTTTATTTAAGAAACTCAAGCCTTCTTCTCTTTACTTTCTATTTCTAGCCTAGAATTTTAAGTAATAGTTATAATAATTATGTAATAATGCCTTCTACTTATTATTCATATTTGATATGTCTTACCTTTTTTTAGATTGTCTCTCATACATGATAGAACCTATAAGGAATTAGTACTCTTACTGATTATTACTATTTTATATGAGAGAAAATCAGGTTCAAAGAGGTTGATCAATGAATGAATGCCACATTTAATCCATGCACGGGTAAGACTGGAGTCTGGCTGCTCTGCCTCAGAGTCTGTGTTTTTCTATGACTCTCACACATCTCTCACACATCTTTATTTGGTTTAAGGGCCCAATTCTGATACACTCTGTTGTTAATTGTTTTATGGTGTGTGTGTGCTAATGGGCCACAACCAGGAGGCCAAGGTTCAGGCAGGCCAAGGCCTAGTGAGCTCGCTTACCTCTAGTCTAATCTGTTTCCAAGCCCTCCTGATAAGCCTGTCCTGGATTGTTCCATTTGCTTTAATGTTCTATTAAAACCTTCTGAATCTTGTGCCCTGGTGGCTCGGATTAACTAGGTCATGGAAGTTCTAGGAAACAGCCCTTCACCTTTTATCTTATGGCCAGTTTCAACCTTTTCAATAATAGTAAGCACCATCCAAGAGGCTGATTCAGGGTTATGATGTTAGTCTCTGTTCTGGGTGAGGGCTGGTACAATAGCCTAGCCCCTAGCTCCAAACAGCGTTCTTAGACCTCACTTCCTTGAAATTCTCCAGGGCATGTTTCTCCAGGTCCCCTGCTTTCTGTACTCTTGGTATCCCTGAACTTTGACTCCACTAGGCCTTGACCTACGTGAACCCTGGAGTCCTGAACCTACTTCCTCACTATCATCTACCAGCATGCACAGCTTAACCCTTTCATTCGTAATCCATCACTCTTTGCAAACATGGGTCACAAATCTGACAGCTGAAACATCTCACTCAGAGTTTTGATTCTTTCATGGTTTAGAAATTTTTGTTAAGGTGTAATTTCTTTTGTATGTTGACTTGAGAAATGATGTATTAAAAAGGACAAACCAAATTAACACGTATTTATTTTTATAAGGTAAGTTATACATGTTGGATATGCATTTTCAACATTTATGGTAACTAAAGTAGAATATAATAACTGCTAGCATTTTCCTATGAGAAATCTCGCAGACATCTGAGACCGAAGTTCATAAGGCATTTATTTACAAAATGCTCCATCAGTAGTCCCTTTTGTGTAAATTTAATAAATAGATTTGAAAAGTTAATAAAACCATTATTTTAATAAACATATTTTATAATATAGAACTTGCTGTAATATGTTGTTTTAAAATGTAGCTTCTTTAGATGTTGTAGGTAGGAAGACTCTAAGAGAAGAGATAAAGTCTAAGAGATCTGAACGTTTGTTAAGCTACCTCCTGATAAATTCCTGGGTTACAGAAATTTGATGAGAAATAGTTGAAAATATATGTTTTAGTCACAATCAACAACTACTTATGTTTAAGAATTTTCATTAATGTTTATAGAAAATAGTCTAAATGTCCAACAATTGGAACATTTTGTGTTTTCAATGGAAATTTCATATCAATGACTTTTTTTCTTCTATGTTTTTTGCATTTTTAAAATTTTTATATATCTATTTTTGTAGAGACAGGGTCTCACTCTGTTGCCCAGGATGGTCCCAAACTCTTAAAATCTTCCCACCTTAGCCTCCCAAAGTGCTAGGATTACAGATGTGACGAAACTTGCCCAGCCATTTTTTGCATTTTTGAAATTTTCTGCAGAGCAGACAAAACACTGTGGGTAGGTATTAAAGCATAGTGCCCAGCAATGAATGTTTCTTTGCTTAGTAATTTGAGGGATTTTTCAGCGTGGGGGATAAGGGATAGAAGGAGGCCAATAGGTATGATCTTATTTATGTAGGAAGACAAAAGAAAACAGAATCTATTTAAGCAAAGATTAGGTGCTTGTTAAAAGCATCTCCATTTGTTCAACAGATTTTCATATAAAATTTATCTATCTTCATGTTTCAGCCATAGCTAGTTATCTGGAATTAACATAAAGTCAGCCAAGACTTAGAGAAAAGGTCTGAGATTGTCTCAGCTGGGTGACAAAATGGGCAAATTAGGATGAGACTTAAAAGAAGCAGAAGGATAAGAAAAGTACAGAAGGAGAGAACAGGATGAGTTATGGAAAAGTGAAAAAAAATAACCAGATGGTGTGGAGGTTGGCAGAATTCATTTGTTTTAAGTACAATGTATAGCCTGAACTTTCATTGGCTTTGGTGAGCTCCATATTGCCAATGCAATGTTTGCTTGCATTTATGAAGTTTCCTTTTCTATTGATTCCAGAAATGAATATGAGATTAAATACCAATAATGTTGTAAACTTCAAACCATAGGTAAGCTGTAGATTTTTATAAGTAATGTAATTCACTGAAAGAATGCATATTACTAAGAAGCTTCAATCTTAAAATAAAAAGTAAACAATAAAGAAAAAATAGAACCTTTTTAAAAATCATTTATGTTCATTATTATAGAGGATCACGAGTTTTGCTTCCTTTAAGGGTCTAAATCATTATAATCCTTCCTTTACTTTAGAGCAGATATGACATTGTGCAACATTTTATACAGCATCCTGGTTGAATAAAGTTCATAGGATTCAAATCTCAGCAACTATTTGTCTTAAATGCCTATTGCCTATAGCATAATGTGCTTATATCTGTTTTACACACATGAAAGATATTAGCACATTTGGAGCACATATTTTCATCTGGAAATTCAATAGGCTTCAAGAGGAATCTAGGTGTATAAGACAAAGACAGAATGGATAGAGGAAGGGAGAAAGAGTTGAGAGGTAAGAATGAACATATTTTTTTTCCAGGAATTTTCACATGGAGGGTATAATATTATTTTCCTGCTGAGATCTTGTCATCTTGTCTTTTTATTTCATAAACTCTTCAGTCTATTCTAGTTGAATTTTTCTTGGAAGGCCACCCAGAAGCTCTAACCTGACTGGCAATGGAGAGAACAGCTGATTTAAAGATGGTCTCAGAGAACTCTAAAACAACATAGTTTATACTACAGCATGAGGGATTTAGGTCATTTAAATGGTAGAGATTACCACCCAGAGGCCTGGAGTGTAAATAAGCTTTCAGACCTTCATTTGCCTTTCAGCTCACCTACACTCTTTATATTAGTATTAATGAGATGCCACTCCTAATGCAGAGAAATGTTTTTAATGGCTCGGTATGAGTTGATATGTTCCTTGATTTATTTTTCTGAACATGATGATAGGAGCAGAATTGAGTAATGCTTTAAAGTACAGCCTCGGGCTAGACACCTGGGTTCAAATCCTGGCTTGACCACTTAGCTGTGCTTGGACAAAAAAAATTAGCCTGTGTATGCCTTAGTTTAACTTACGAAAATGGACATCATCAGGATAGTACATATTTAACAAGGGTATTGTGCACGTGAGCTATTAAATGTAAAATACTTGGAACAGTGAAGGATACATAGAGAATGCTCAGTAAACACTGGCTATTATCATGTTATTGTGTTTTCCATTCTCTCTCCTGTTTACTTTTATGAACATATCATTCATGAGAGCTAGAAATGCAATCTGTGATCACAAGAGTTTGACCCTCCTAGAAAGCACATTTCAGTGAGCACTTTCTCTTCATGATTGAGCTGAGCACCAGACAACCTGAGAATAAATATCTCAAGCTAGTTTGCATTACCCAAAGGTAGTTGGATAGAAATATTTGAAATTGGATAGAACCTTTGAAAACAAACAAACAATTGAGCACTTGATTAGGTCAGAATGTCCCAAGGAAGTAAGACATTTGTCTTGCATATGGCTTCAGAGGAAGCTGGCAGCCATTTTGAAGCCAGGCCCAATTTTTCCAGATGGCTCCAGGTCTCAGGGAAGTTGCTGCCATGAGCACATGACTGGCTGCACTGGGAAGCCTCTTTACTGGCTCAGGCCTGTAAGACTAACCGTTACTGCCAGCAGTCCACCAATTTTGATTAAGAAAAGTGGATTTTAAATGTATCTGCTTTGGAATATCTAATACATTACAGTTTTTTATGACATAATATGATCATTTTCTTTATCTGTCCTAGAATTTATTTTGTGGCATCTTGTCTATCATTGACTGAGAGCAATAATAAAATAAAATGATCTGTGTCACAATCTCAGAGAACAGAATACTATTTCTAGAATGTTTGATACCGCAAAAGACAGATGAACAGATAAAAGCTAATATTTGTTGAGGGGTAATTATGTGCCATCTATCTCATTTAATCTTCATAAAAACTCTATGAGAACTAACTGAGGGTGGGAGAGATGAACTGACTGCCTAACTGGTCAAGTAAGTCTGGTTCAGTAGGACACTGAATTTTCTGTTTTCATCTTTCGTTTCCCACACCATCCAACCCATCATCATGTTCGGAGTCCTGGATCTTAAAAAATCACAAACCTAACCACCTTTCACCACCCCACCACCACTACACTGGTCTAAGCCCCCACCATCTCTTGCTTGGATTATTACAAGAAGCTTTTGGCTGCTCTCTCTGCTTCTACTATTGCCCCAGCACTGCCGCCAACTGTCCTCCCCTGCCACCCCAACCACCACTACAGTCTATTCAGCGCAGAGCACTGGAAGAATCTCATCTCAGTCAAAGCACAAAGTCTTGACATTAACCTGAAAGATCCTACATGACCCAACTCCCCTACGTCCTTGACCTCATTCCCTACAACTCTGTCTCACAAATGGCTGCCCTAATTGTCTTAATTCTAACATAGTCCTTTTTATAAATAATATTTAGATTTTTCAGCCAATGGAAATAAAAGGCTAAATCTCTGAAAAATGTCAAAGATTCCATTTCTGATATTAGATGAAGACAAGAGGGGGAAGTAAATGAGATCCTTTTTGGAGTAGAAGAGAGAAACAATTTCCCTATACCTTAAAAGAAATAGAGCGGTATTCTTTGAGCTTTATGCTATAATAAGCTGTCACTCTTTTTAATAATTTAGTGTATTGACTTATTATGAGAGTGGTATATATAAGAAAATTTTCAAAAGTCTCTTTTGCAGTAAAAAATACTATCTTTATTTTTAATATTGTTTAAATTTGGAGGCCCTACTTCAATATTGCACCACTACTTAGAGTACTTTCATCCTAGAAAATGTCACAGAAGAATAAACTAGAAAATCCATGGCTCACCCAAAAAGTATTTTCCTAAGAAAACATTAATGTAAACGATGTATAATATCATGACCTGTCTATAATGGCCAAGAGGATATGGAAGAGGATATAGGATTGAATGAATGAATGAATTATTGGTCTAGGTTTTCCCTCTAAGACAGTAAGTTAGTTTGGCTATCACCATCATTACCATTGTCATCTGTCATCATCATTATCATTATAATCACTACTATTTTTTGAATACTTGTTCATCACTGGGCATTGCACTAGATACTTAACAGGTGTTTTAATCTTTAATCCTCACAATAATCCTACAATCTCAGAAACCAAGGGTCAGAGAGGACATGTTACACAGCTAGCAAGTGACAGAAATGTATTCAGATTTAATTATTTGGCTCTAAAGACTTGATGCATCCCATGATTTCATAAGATAAAAAACATTTCATCTTATATATTCTCCAAAGCACCCCAGTGCTAGCTATATTATAAATTAGCGGTCCCCAACCTTTTTGGGCACCAGGGACAAGTTTCATGGAAGACAATTTTTCCGTGAATTGGGGAGGGGGTCGATGGTTGGGGGATGAAACTGGTCCACCTCAAACTCAGATCATCAGGCATTAGATTCTCACAAAGAGCACTTGTGAAAAGTAAATTAGAGGTTCCTCTTCAAAGAGACTTTCCTTCCTGTCTAATTAGGAATAAATAGTAACTTCTCTTAAAAACAAAATTTATTCAAAGACCTGTGCTAACATTCTTTTTTTTGTTCTAAGACGGAGTTTTGCTCTTGTTACCCAGGCTGGAGTGCAATGGCGTGATCTCAGCTCACTGCAACCTCTGCCTCCTGGGTTGAAGCAATTCTCCTGCCTCAGCCTCCCAAGTAGCTGGTACTACAGGCACCCACCACCACACCCGGCTAATTTTTATATTTTTAGTAGAGGCAGGGTTTCCCCACGTTGGCCACACTGGTGTCAAACTCCTAACCTCAGGTGATCTGCCCACCACGGCCTCCCAAAGTGCTGGATTACAGGCGTGAGCCACCGCACCTGGCCAACATTCTTAAATATCTACTAGCCATAATAAAAAAATTAATATACTTTATGTTCTTAACTCCCACAATTTAGCCTAAATATTTGCCCTAACATACTTATACTAGTCCAAACAAACATTAAGTCATAGCCTGTTCCCCTTCCTTATTTAGAGGTATTTTTACCTTTCTCAACATTCCACAAGTTACTTCCTCCTTCCTTTGTTCTCCTCTGCCTTTGCCTCTCTTAAAAAAGTTCTAAGTTACTAGCCAATCTAGACACATAGAAAACATAAAGTCTTGTTCCAGCCAATAAAAACTGGACACAGCAGTAGGGTAGCTACGTCAGGTTATAAATAAATAGTCTCCTTTGTTCAGTATACTCTCATAACAAAACTGTTGACAAGTATACCCTTTCTACAAAAAATTAAAAATAGCCTTGCTAAAAAAATTAAATTTATGTTCAAGTGCTATTTCTTTACGGCACTAGGGAACAAGCATTTCAAACACACGCAACCTAGATCCCTCGCATGTGCAGTTCATAATAGGGTTCGTGCTCTTATGGGAATCTAAATGCCGAGTTAATCTGACAGGAGGCGGAGCTTAGGCGATAATGCTCTCCCGGCTCTCACCTTCTGCTGTGCAGCCCGGTTCCTAACAGGCTGTGGACCAGTACCAGTCCGAGGCGCAGGAGTTGGGGACCTCTGCTACAGATATTTAAAAATACTCAGAATAAAACTTAGAGTTGGACAAAACTTTAGAGGTAATCTTTCTAATCTTCCAGGGGGGAATCTAAGACTGATATTTTAGAATATAACTTTAAAAACTATCTTCTTTCTTAGAAGCAAAGCCAGACAGAGAACTCAAATGTCTGAATCACAGGTTGTTCTACTCCCTCAGAGTCCTTTTCTGTTGACTGGTATGAATGTAATGCTTATAAACATGTTAAATCATATATATAATTGTTTACATAGGATTACATATTGAGCTTGTAAATCATTTTTATTTAATAGAATTCCAGTTCAAATCCTTTTCTCTTACAGATTAACCAAGTAAGTTGAAGCTTGGTCTGAATCAGAAGGAAAAAAAAAAAAACTAAACTAAAAAACTATAAAAGTATACCCTCATCTCATAAATCTACCCTTCTAATGTGTCAAATTGCTGGCAAATCTATTTATGTGTTGTATATGTATTTGCACGTATGTTATACATAGGCGTACCCATATAATCTGGCAATACTTCCTATGTGATGTAAGGATTATGTAAATCAGAATGGTGAATAAGCCCACTTAAATCCTTAGGTAGTTAACATTGAGGGAAAATTGTGGTGACATTCATAAGTTCATGTTTGCTTTCGAAAAATAATCATCCTGTAGACTGTAAAAAACACTGGCCCTAACCAAAAGATTGTATACCAGGTAAGGATGCCAAATGCAGTTCACACAAAGCAATTATAGTAAAAGCTGTGAGTTTTACTACTGCTCGGGGAATACTTTACACATTTACTTTTCCTCTATGAAAGAAACTTGTGCTGAGAAACCACTGCCTTCTCTATGCAAATGGAAAATGTGGGCTACCTGAGGAAAGGGTAAAAATGCAGTTTAATTTCTATGTAAACCTTGGCGAATAATTTAAGAAGTCAAACTGATGTGAGGAAGAAGTAAAATAAAAGGCTTCTCATTCCTGAACTGGCTCTCCTTAGCATTTTCTTCCTTGGGTATAATCTGATTCAGAGCAGGAACATACAGTACAGTTAGCATTCAACTTTAATTGCAATGAGGTGACAACATACTGGGTAATGAGTTGTTTATGAGTTGTAGATGTGTTTACAATGAGTTGACAATGTGTTGGATAAAGTGTTCTTCCAAAGTTGTAGATCTATTTACAGTAAGCGGTGGGGGATGTTCATTAGTTGTCGATTTGTTTGTTTACATTGTTTTCGATTTGCAATTGCTATGAAACAAATTGCACACTGATGAAGGATGATTGTTTGTGTGCCTTGATGATTTACTGTAGTAGCTTGTCTGAAAAAGTACTTAACTCTGCCTCATCTGTCAGTTTCTACTGCAAAAGCTCCCAGTCACAATAGTTTTATTAGCATAGCATGGACCATTTGTAAGAACATTACGCATCTAAGAAATCTCAGGACTTTGCTATTCAGCCCATTGTATTTGAGCCAGCAGACCTGAACAGAATTCTTTCTGCTTGGTACACGTTTATATCTTTTTAAGTTAGAACATGATTAATAGTTTTCAAACTCCCAGCTACAGAAAGAATTCAAGTCCTTTGTAACTCAAGGTACTGTTAATTTTCCACCTTATCTTTGACCCACTAACTTCTCTGAAAAGGCTTTTTTTTAAAAAAAGGACTAATTTGAGTGTTATAATACAGTTTTACTAAATATGTGTTTTTAACATATTGGAGGACAAAAGAATAGTATGGGCCCTATATTTTAAAATTTACAACAAGCCAGTTTGATCCGCATTAATACGTATTACTTCTATATCTTGTGTATTTAATAAATTTTTTTGATAGAAGGGAAGAAATGAGAAAAAGAAATGGAACATCCACACCTTCAGCATCTCACAATTCACTATGTCCCCTATATATAACAGACCCACATGTATTCACATAAGGGAGCTGATACCCTTATACACTGTGCCTCATTCATATTCCATTAATACATCATGATAAATAAAGCCACCTTGTATTAATTTAACCATAAAAAGATATGACTCAGAATTCATAGGCCATGCCTAAAAAACCTGTAGTCTTTAAGGCATGAAAAATTAAATACTGAAATATTTAAATTCCTGAAATCAAAAGTACAAAAAAACCCCCAAACCTAAGAGAATTAAAAGGGACAAGATGAGCCAGTAAAAGCAAGTATAATGTGAGTTTAATAAATAACAACAAATACCATTAATTTAAAATTTCCAAAGCTTATAACATACAATATCTTATTTAATCGGTCCCAAAATTCTTGGGACCAGAAGTGTTTTAGATTTCATATTTTTTTTATTTGGAATATTTGCATTGTATACTTATTGGTTGAACATTCCTAATTTGAAATCTGAAATGCTCCAAAATCCAAAACTTTCTGAGCAATGACATGATGCTCAAAGGAAATGCTCACTGGAGCATTTTGGATTTGGGATTTTTAGATTAGGGAATATCCACCCTGTATAGAGATGCAAAGTGGTACTTTTATCCCCATTATACATGTGAAACAACTGACACCGCGGAAGCCAATGGCTTTTTTGAGGTCATGCAATTAGGAAGGACAGAACTGAAACGTAACCTATAGGTTTTGATTTAAATCTGGTGTTAATCTTATCAGTTTCTGTTCTATTTTGTTTTTATTATGACAGAAGTAAAATCCCAAAATACTAACACTTACACTAATGCACTAACACTTTTCCCTTTAGTTTGCCGAAGTCATAGAAGAGATCTACTGATTTTTTTTTTCTCCTACTAGTATACTGTTATTTTCCATAACACACTTACCTCCATTTGAGATTTCTAACTCATAGAAAAACAAGGAAACTTGATAAAAATCACACAAAATTAGTGTTCTCCTAAAGAAGCACCCTGAACGGAAAGATTTCTATTATTCTTAAGTCTGGTTTCCATGTTTGTCCCTGAGGAACATGTTTGGCCTCCAAACCTGAAGTCAGCTTCATAGGCGTTTTTTTTTTCAGGCTAAGGAAAAGAAAGACATTTTAATTGTCTAAAAAATTTAATAGATATACGAAACAAGTATTTCTAAAGATATAACCTAATAGGTCCTAAATGCTAAATTGGGCTTTTGAAGATCACATAGGGGCTTTCACTTACTAACATCAATGGTGCCAAAGCAAACAAGAAAGAGATTACATTTTCCTCTCTTGATGTGCCACTGTGAGCTTGAAAAAATAAATTCTTCGCGCTTTCCAACATGCTGACCCTAAAACAAATCTGTCATTGGAATCTCAAGAAAAGGCACTGGATGAAGTGCTGAGGTGTTGCTTCCTGAGAGTCACGTTAGCATATTCATGTTGGAAAGGATTTCATCTTGGAGGCTTCTGTTCATCTAACCAGATACTCTGCAAGTAAAAATGCATGAAATTTAAACCAGCTTTCACATGGCCATTTTTTATGGCAGACCATTTCAGCAGTCTAACAGGGGTAGACACCTATAAATGTATAATGTGATGAATTCAATTGTAATGCAGCCTGGATACATATGGACGTACTGTTTGCCCTTCAGTGCAAATCCATTTTTATGTCAAAAGGAATCCATTGAAATTAATAGGGCATTATCCAAGCAATAAGTAACTCTATACATACGATGCAAATATTTCTAGCAGGAAGACACATTTTCTCTAAATAATGTAAAAAATAACCATGCTAAGAAATTGTATGGTAAATTAATGCACTACAGAAGTGGTAACATTTCTTATATTTTTAAAAAGAAAACAGGTGGATAGACGACTAAGATCTTTAATCTTTATTGGGATAATATCAAGTAGCAAAATAAAATGTATTACTTTCTAAAACCGCATTTATTTTGGATGCAGGCACACAGGTATTTTTTTTTTTGGACAAAATTAGCTGATGCACCAATGTCACTGTACGTATTTCAGCTATATAATGCAGTTTAGTTTGCTATCCAAGAAATTATTTCATTCATTCATTTGTGCATTCATTTAAAGAGTATTTTGGGTTTCTACCATGTCCTAAAAAACCAAGTCGAACGGAGGACAGAGCAATAAACACAATAGACATGATCATTGTCTTCATTGTGTTAAAGGGTGAACTTTCCAGTCTCTGAATCTGAGATTTCTAAACTTTCCTCTGCAGCACTATTTTTTAATATTGAATTACTCTTTATACGTCCCTTGACTATTTTCATATTTCACATTCTTGTGCCCAGTGCTTTCTTAAAATGATGATATGCTCTCATACTTTGTACTTAAAGTAATTTTTATCATATCTAGTTTTTACTGTTGTATATGCTCAATTTTTCTTCTCTCATCCCCAAGAAGCATTTTCTGGCTATAAGAAAGATAAAATGTCTATTCCTCAGCAGGTACTCAATACATATTACTTTCACCACCCCACCTGTAATATAAAATACTGATCTCTTCACTCCTCATGTGCTTTACAGAATTCAATGAAGAACCATTAAAGGGCGTTGGGAACAGAGTTTATAGTCACATGCAATCAATATTCTTTATCTTTGCTGTCAGTACTAAGTTGTGGTAGGCACTGGCCAGATAGATCTGGAATGACCAGATACAGAAGTCGTTTGATTAGGGGAACCTCGCAAATGGTGTTTATCTTGTGGCAGGTACTCAAGAAGAAAAGGAGTACGGACATGTAAGAGTGGACAGGGCCAGTAGCTGCAGCTGAGTACTGAGTCCAGCTTTCAGTGGCACTGAAATGGGCCAGCAGAAAGCACAGGCCACATCAGGTTCCAAAGCAAATGAGGGAAAACAAAACACATGAATTGGTACAAACCAATAAGTTGGTATAAGACCCAGGGCCTGAAGGAGCAGTCAAAGAAAAGATAAGTTCTCCCAATGTAGGTTGATAGGATATCCTGTGTTGCAGAGATAGTGGAGAATGGGGAAGGAGGGGCAGTCAAATGTAGCACCCTTCAAAAAATAGATTCTGAGCAGTAGGACCATAAGTTATGGCTGAAGCTCAATAAACACTTCTTCCTTTTAAATAAATTATACAGGCTGCTAAGTGTTATCTGAGGATAGAGAGATGTGCCTCACTGCCTTTCTCAAAGCTGGGTAAGGGCTCTTGCATGAGATGTGTGAGGTGACCACCACTTGAGCCTTACATGTACAAGGTTCTTATTGGCTTGAGCCTTGGCCTCTCCATCAACCTCCAAGGCAGGTGCATGGAAATGAGGAGACTTGATATGAACATATTCCAGCCTCATTAACCTTCTGCAATTTGCTTGACCTACAATCTATTTTCAGCTATTGTGTTGTGGGGAGATTGCTTTCTGGAACCTTTATTGCAAAATTTGTGCAACAAAATGTCGGGTATTTATTTAGAATCAATAAAACTGATTATGTACCAGGTAAAGTATGAAATAGATACAGCCTTCTTTGAAAGGACAATTATGTCACCTGCACTCCTGTGATTGTAGCCACTGACTGAACAATGGGACCACTGGCTGGTTCAACCAATTAGTGCTCAGAAATGCCCTGCTCTTGCTCTGCTCACATACAGAGCCATGCATTTTCTCCAGCTCTCCAGCTTCTCTAATGAGGCTGTAAAAGAAGTTTATGTGGCACTTCATAAGCTGCATAGGGCAACTGAAAGAAATAATTATCCACTCATAATGAAATGATGATATTATGCCCATCCCCAAAATGTCCATGAGCAGGATACAATGTACAAGAGCAGATCATTTGCAACAGGCTGGACAAAAAGTTGAGGATGGGTCATTTTGGAAGAAGGCAACTTTTTTTTTTTTGTCTTAAAGTGTAAGCAATAGAAGTGACTTTCCTGCTGAAAGAGAATATGGCAAGTTTAATATGTGTGGAAGAAGCAAGGCAGGATCTGGCTCAAAGTTCCCCAGATAATCAAAATAATTCTTCATGGCCTAGATCAGTAGTTTTCAAAGGTATGCTCAAAAATTACCCAGAGAGCCTGTAAAAATGAGGAGTTCTTGGCTCCATCTTCAAAGGTTCTGAATCAGTTGATGTGGACTTTGACTCAGGTATCTGCATTTTT